>NC_000007.14:149458379-149609894 GCF_000001405.40 Homo sapiens | reverse complement strand
GACAGAGATGCTGGTGGGAGGGATGATAGTGGAAAGGGAGCCCCTGATTTCAGTGGGGCTGGGAGGATTCTAGGGTGTCAGAGGCCAAGCACTGTGATATTTTAACCCAAAGTGAAGTTTGGGTGTTATTCCGTGGTCTGTGCCACACAGGTCTTGGCTGTGACTCATCAGTGGTAAGGATTTTCGGCCTGAGAATGGGGAGCCCATCGTGGTCCCCTAGACGTGTAGACCTGAACTACCACCATAGCTGGCACAATGGAGGTTCCTGACCTCTGACCCATTCCCCAGGTCTGAATCTGCTCAAAGAACCTGCCTCCCTTGATGATAGGGAAGCCAAGCTTGAGAAAAGGACTCTGCCAAAATATCCAGTCACGGACAGTGAATCCTTCTGCCCGATTTCCCATATTAGGCCCTTCAGCTATTTGCCTGGAAACTACATGGAGGAGTGGGAAATATCCACATAATTTGGGATTATTGGTGGCTCTGCTGCATCTGTGAAGCTTCTGGAGATCCAGTAATTTGGGTAACATCAGAATATCCCAGAAAAGAACACATCCTGCATCTTGCTTTGTTTAGCTACCACCATCAGAGGGGGCTCGAGAGACCACAGTTACTACGCGCGGTGTGCTCCTTTCACCCAAAAGGCTACAGACTGCAAGGTTTTCATCACATAATAATGAGATGAGCCTTAGGGGACAGACCAAAAGGTTCCAATCGGCTTGCCCGTTACCTATTCTTATTTTTATTTACTGATTTTGGAATCTGACTCCAGCTTCCTTTCCCTTGCTGGAGCCCATGATCTGTATCTGTCTGCGTGGAGGAGAGAGAAGAGGTTGATGGTTTCAGGTCAGTCCTCTGGGTAGTCCCAGCTGACTTCCTCTATCATCTCGCTCCTTGCCCACAGTCTCACAGAGCCTCCCAGAATCCTGCTTTTCCCCAGTCCTTGGTCTGGGTAGGCCAGGGTGTGAGTCTGCAGCAGCCCCAGATGGGAAATCCAGAACCTGAGGGCCCAGAGCCAAAGTCCAGGGTGCAGCACACTAAGCTCAGAAATCTAAGCTCATTAGATTTCTCATGCCCATTGAAGGCGGGCATGAGACTGTGGCTGTTTCAGGTTCTCCTGTGCCACAGTGGAAGCTGGGTGCTGTGGAAAATACAGCAGGACTTAGAGACATGGCCCAGCCCTCTTCGGGATCACGTGGATGTCCCTAGGGAGATTTTGGACTACTCTGCAAAAGTGCTGGAGTGGTACCCAGAGGGCTGCAGTAGGCAGAGGTCTGTGTCTTACAAACTTTAAAGTCCATAAAATCATTTGAGGACTATTGAGTCTGCACTTCAGAGATGCTGTGCATCAGGGATTAGATAGGCTGTGTCATTTTTCCCCAAGTGGGTGGATTGGGTGGAGCTTATGACCCAGGACCCACTTTGGTGATTAAAAGTAAAACAGGGTAGGGGGCACCTGGATTTGAACCAGGGACCTCTTGATCTCTAGTCAAATTCTCTACCCCTGAGCCATACACCCAGTCATAGGAGGACAGTGTAATTAACACCATTTTCATGTGTCGACACACCAAGACCAAGACCCAGCTCTGCCGGTTTGGATGTCCAGGCCAGTTCTGTTTCTCTGAACTCTGGCCTCCCTCCTGTCACTAATACTTCTTTCTCCATCATCACTTCTGGCTAAGGTCACCCTGGTGGGCTTGTTGACCTTTATAAATGGAGAGACCCTTCAAGTCATCCAGATAATTCTCTTAGTAGCAATTGTTGAACATCATGTGAGGTGTGCTAGGCTGGGGACAGAACTGTAACTAGGTGACACCACCTTTCCCTGCACTGAAAGGAGACCCAGTGGCTATGTCTGGAGACTTGTATTTGACATAGAATACTGTTCGTGATAATTTGTCAAATGAAAAGCAAATTTCTTTTGTTAAAAAAAAAGATACTCAAAAAATAATAGTCTTTTAAAAATGTGGCACATACACACCATGGAATACTATGCAGCCGTAAAAAATAACGAGATCATGTCCTTTGGAGCAACATGGATGGAGCTGCAGGGCGTTATCCTTAGCAAACTAACACAAGAACAGAAAACCAAATACTGCATGTTCTCACAAGTGGAAGCTAAATGATGAGAACACATGGACACAGAAGGGGAACACTACACACTTGCACTTGAGGGTGACAGGAGAGAAGATCAGAAAAAATACATATGCATAGTACATGGCTGACGAAATAATCTGTACGCCAAATCTCCATGACATGAGTTTACCAATATGACAAACCTGCACGTGTACCCCTGAACCTAAAATAAAGTTAGAAACAAAAAGATTCTCTACAGAGTACCACTTATAGGAATTTGTCCTTCAAAAATATTCCTATAATTGCGTGAAGACACATATATGTGGAGATTCATGGAATGCAGTTTTTAAATTCCTAACAGCAAACACTGGAGACCATCTAAATATCCATTGGCAGGGAATTGGTTAAAACCAGGCTTTGTCTCTTACCCTGGAGGGGTTGAGGAGAAGGTGAAGATGCAGAGAAGCAGAGGATGCTGAGGGGACTGTGTACCTTGGTCTTCTCAGTCAGGTAGAAAACAGGTCATCCAAAGAGAATAAAGGAGGTAGGGTGGGAATCATTACTTGGGAAGAAGGGCAAAGCGTGAACCAGGCACTGTGGGAAATGGAGAAGAGGTGAATTAGAAAGGAATAGAATCATTGCTCATTAGAGAGAGGCACTGGTTGAGGTGAAACTGGTGTAGACTTGCAGTGGGACCATTTGCCTGGCTGTACAATTTACTCCACCAAAGACTGGCGCCCCCAGAGCAAAGGTGGGAAAGGCCAATGGCGAGTGTATCTGCGGAAGCAGAAGGGCCCATGAGGGTATACAGACCACAGGCCAAGCCCTCAAAGGAGCTGGAATCATGCTGAGAGGCCAAACATGGGGTCCATAATAGGCAAGCAGATAGCTGAGCCCCAAGGTGGCTCTGGGGTCTTGGGAACAGAGAGAGGTAGACAAGATTAAGGTCAAAATGAGGATAATGAACCGTTTTCTGTAACAGTAAGTACATGTAAACATCAAAAGAGGTGTCATTGAAGGAGTTTTCTAAGATCTGGAAAGGGAACAAGTGATGATCAAGTTTGGCAATGAACGTTGAACAACCAAAATAACAAAGGATTATAGCAAAATGGAAAGAAGCAAACAAACTAGAAGCTTAAAAGCTACCACTTAAAAGTCCACAGCTAGGTGGTCCAGGCATGGCTTTCCATAGGGTCAAGAACCCGAGTTCTTCTTTCTGGCTGTCTGGCCGGCTTGGCTTTCATTCCAGCATGCCATCACCCACATTGGCATCTCATCGACCTCCCAGGCAGCAGAAAGATGGAAAAGACAAGTCTTTCCTGTAAGGACACCCATCACTTTCACCTGCATCTCATTGACCAGACTACTGCCTGTAGCCTCACAGCTCCAAGAGGGTCTGGGAAATGCAGATTTCCTTCTGGGAAGCCGTGTGCCCAGCTGATAACCAAGAAGCACGGTAGAAGACACTAGTGGAAAATGCTGAATCTGTGCCTCACTACACCCCTTGAGAGCCGCCGTGAGTGGAGTTTGTGAACATTCTTAGAGGCAACAGGATGGAAATCTCAAGAGGCCTTATCATTGGAAGCATATTGCCATGGTGTTTTGACATTCCTGAGGACAGAAGGAGAGGGCGGTGAGGAAAATAAGATTGTTAGCCTGGTTCTAAAAGTGTCCACTGTTTGTGGAGTCCCGTATGTCAGAGAAGACATGAATGGTGAGAGGAGGGAGTGGTGAAAGAAGATGGCTTTGAGAGAGGAGAAGCATGGAGAGATGGTGGAGGAGCTGGAGTTTGGGGGCAACGTGGAGAACGAGGCTGAGAAGGTGACCCTGCCCTGTCCCTTCCAGAGGTTGAAGGGGAGGGATGGCTTCAGGGGAAAGCTGGCCTTCAGGTGTACAAGGATGGATAAAAAGGCAGACTTGCAGGGAAAGGCTAAGGAGGAAGGAGACTGTTTACAGAGTAGCTGGAGGGCTGGCGGGCTTGGGTGGAGGAGCTGAAACAGTAATGGGGATACAGGAAGGAGACTGCCCCGAGAGACCGTTTCCACTAATAGAAGGCATTGGAGGGCAGGGACGGGAAAAGGGCAAGTACCCAAGTTCTAGGCCAAAGCTCTAAGTGTTTGTGAAACTGGAACAGCAAAAGCTACTTCTTAAAAACCTTAAGATTTTGTGGGTATCTAGTGAGCGTATATATTTACGGGGTATATGAACTGTTGTGAAACAGGCATGCAATGTGAAATAAGCTCATCATGGGGAATGGGTGCCCATCCCCTCTAGCATTTATCCTTTGAGTTACCAATGCCACTTTTTTTTGGAGGGGTTGGCAGGGAGTACTAAATAAAAAGTTCACATCTCTTGTTAACAAAAGGAATCTACTTTAATGAATAGGAAATTATGCAGCACATCATTGAAAATAAAAGAAGCTCTGTTTTTCAGGCCACTACATCTTATACTAATAAGGAGAGTCACAGGATGCAGAATATTTTCAACTCAGAGGAGTAGAGCAAAGCGCCATTTGCTAAATGATCAAATTAGACAGAGCCTCAAGTGACACTACACTTGACCAGGCTCTGTCTTCAATGCCTGCTTCTCTGTTGTGTTTTCCTGCCATTCAATGTAAAGATAGTAAGACTTTCTTGCTTTGAGATAGTTTTATTACAGGAACATGTTTTTAACCTATCTAAAATATAAACTTCTGTTGTGTACATAAATCTGAATTATTAAATGTATTTTAGATACTTTTTAAAAAGGTTCATAAAACATGATTAGTATAAGGGATACTAAAAATCATGAATTGTGCTTCTGAATTCTATGCTGTATAGCTGAACCTCCATGAATTTTAAGATTTGTGTCAAAAAAGCTATTTGTTCTCTAAAGCATAGAACGCCATGACATCCTCTAGTTTTTGAGATGGTTGATATAATTCAGTGATCCCTTCTGCAGAAGTTCGCCTTTAAAGCTTAACTGTGACATAAAATTGCCGTTGATAATTGGAACATCTGAACACAACGTAGAACTTTTACTTATACTTTAACATGTTGACATTTCATCCTCTGCAAACTGTCTTGGCCTTATAAGGGCTTACTCATTGAGCAATAGATCTTGGTGGTTTGCCTTGGAAATAGAAGACCGGTACTACCCCATCCCAGGCAGAATGACTGGATCCAGAAGGGGTACAACTAGGAAATGCAGAAAGAGGCTTTGTTCCTGGAAGATGCTGTTCTGGTCTAGTTTTAAGTGCTGTCCACATAAGTGTGAAATGAAAATCAATCTTGGGGCCCCCAAATCACTAAGCTAAAGGCAAAAGTCAAGCTGGGAACTGCTTAGGGCAAACCTGATTTTATTCAAAGTCACCGCTCTGCTTGCTTATGAGATAAATCTGTATCAGATTGCCTCTTTTAGAGAGGCTCATTAGAAACGCAAAAGAATGCAACCTTTCGTCTCTACCTATGACCTGGAAGCCCCCTCCCACCTTCCAGTTGTCCCACCTTCACCTGGCATTGTCCCACCTTTCCAGATGGAACCAGTGTACATCTTATACATATTGATTGATGGCTCGTGTGTCCCTAAAATGTATAAAACCAAGCTGTGCCCCTACCACCTTGGGCACAGGTGGTCAGGACTCGCCTGAGGCGGTGTCACAGACGTGCATCCGCAGCCTTGGCAAAATTCACTTTCCTAATTAACTGAGACCTTTCTCTAGATATTCGGGGTTCAAATAAGGATGAATAAGAAGAGGCAGAGTGGGAACAATGCAGTCTTGGGCTAAGGAGGCTTCTTGGAAGCTCTGCTAAAGCGGGGTCTTGCCCTTAGCTGCAGTCTAGAGCCCCCTGGGAAGCTTTCACCAGCCTGGGCCCCACTCTAGATGTTCCGATTTAATTGGTCTGGGGTGGGGCCCGGGAAGTGGCACTTTTACGGACTCTTCAGGTGATTCTAGTTTATACCTGGGGTTAAGAACCACCACATTCTAGCCTCACCATTTGCTGGTTTCAGAAGAAAAAAAAAAAAAAGAAAAATGAAACATTTACCCTAGTGTCTAAGTGTCTAATAAGGAAGAACTTAAAATGTGGGCACCTATGTAAAAATGTCAAAATTGAAAATGCGGAGGGGGCATCTGGAATCAAACTGGTGGCCTCTCGGTCTGCAGTCTTATGCTCTAACCCTGAGCTATACCCCTTCCTGCTGCTGTGGGGGTCAATTAATGCCTTTGACTTGTGCGGTCACACCCAGATGACCAGTCACCTGTGTGTTGCCACTTCACAATGGAAGCTCCTAGGAGCTGCCAGGTCTACCTCAGTGAAAACTCATTGACCTTGTGCATAGCAAGAGGCAGTCCCCGCTCCTCAGATAACCCCCGTGCCTGTGTCTTCCCTGCCTTGAGTCCTTAGTTATGGGCAGCAGGCTGGAAAAGCACTGCCAGCAGCCACTAGAATGGCCTTGAGAGTCATCCTCCAGTAACTGTTTATGGTGGGCACATACAAGAGAAACTTTGTGTGACTGAGGTGTCTGTTCTAAAACACTTAATGACAGAGTTGGGCCTGGCTCTCCTGGTCCAGTGTTCCAACACAACTACAATCTAGGACAGAAGGTGATTCTTCCAGCTTTCACTTCTTCAATTAATATTAATGGAGAATGATAGAGAAGGAGCGACTCCAAGAAATAGTGAGAAGGCGGTAGCTGAGTAGATTTTGGAATCCCCGAAAGCCTTAAGAGGGCCAGCGTTAACATAGTTTCAAGGACCAGAATATGTTGCTAGACAACAACCCCACTTGATTCATTTTTGTCTTTAAGTAACAGGGTGTTTTCCTGTCATCCAGAGTGGAGTGCAGTGAAACAATTATAGCTCACTTCAGCTTCCCAAGTAGGTGGGACCACAGGTGTGTACCATCATACCCAGCTAATGTATTTTATTTTTTGTAGAGGTGAAGTCTCACTATGTTGCCCAGGCTGGTCTTAAACTCCTGGTCTCAAGCGATCCTCCTGCCTTGACCTCCCAAAGTGCTGGGATGAGAGACATGAGCCACTGTGTCCAGCCTCCCACGTGACCTTCCTGATGGCAGGCAGAACCCTGTCCTTTCTAGAAGGAAGACTTGGAGGAACACTTGGGTTAACTCCTTTTCACCTCCTCAGCTGTGCCAAGGCCCCGCCTCTGCTCTTGTCATAGGAGCTGGTAAACTGTCTCTTCTTCAAACTGCCTTTCTTTCCTGCTGGAATTTTCTCCTTTACCCACAGGCCTTTGCCTTGTAGCCCTGGGCACCTTCTCAGAAGGCAGCCAGCAGCCAGCCACTCCTCTCCGCTCCTGGCCTGACAGCCTCGGGAAACACTGACTTCCGCAGTGATTTATATGATAACGTTAAAATCCTCTGGGTTTCCCTTTTCGGCAGTAGGGTGGACTGCCAAGGAAGATGCGGAGGATTGATGAGCCTGCAAGAGCACAGAACTCCCCACTGGCAGGGCCTGGGCAGCAGCCTGGCAGGCAGATCACCTGAGGTCGGGAGTTTGAGACCGGCCCGAGCAACATGGAGAAACCCCATCTCTACTGAAAATACAAAATTAGCCGGGCCTGGTGACTCTTGCCTGTAATCCCAGCTACTCGGGAGGCTGAGGCAGGAGAATTGCTTAAACCCGTGAGGCGGAGGTTGCGGTGAGCCAAGATCGCGCCATCACACTCCAGCCTGGGCAACAAGAGCGAAGTCCAGGAAGTCGCAGAAGACCCTGGACATCGCTGGATTCTGGAGGCCCGGATGTCAGTAGTACAATGATGAATGGGCATTTCCAAGAAGAAGTCTTAGGCCCCACCCATGGTGAGGAATCAGGAAGGAGACAGTCTTGCACTAAGGCAGGATACGAGAAGGGCTAAGCAGTGGCCGGGCGCAGTGGCTCATTCCTGTAATCCCAGCACTTTGGGTGGCTGAGGTGGGCAGATCACCAGGTCAGGAGTTGGAGACCAGCCTGGCCAATGTGGTGAAACCCCGTCTCTACTAAAAATACAAAAATTAGCCGGGTGTGGTGGCGGGCACCTATAATCTCAGCTACTCGGGAGGCTGAGGCAGGAGAATCGCTTAAAATAGGAACGTGGAGGTTGCAGTGAGTCCAGATCGCGCAGCTGCTCTCCAGCCTGGGCAACAAATCGAGATTCCATCTCAAAAAAAAAAAAAAAAGAGCGTATGTTTCATGGATTGTTGTGTAGATTGAATGAGTTAATCTGCGTAAAGCACATAAAACAGGACTGGCAGGTAGTAAATTCTATATACCGTTTGCTGAACAGATAAAAAGCTCACAGAGAAATCAGCTAACATTCATGAGAGCCAATAAACACAAGTAAGAGAATAAGAACCCACATGGCAGGAGAAGGTATCTGTTGCACATAAGTGATGAAGGGTTTATTCCCAAAATATATAAAGTATTGCACAAGACAATTAAAAAATGGACAACTTAGTAGAAAAATGAAGAAGAGACTTGAGCAGTCACTTCACAGAAGAGGACATCCAAGCGACCAATAAGCCTATGAAAAGATGCTCAAACCTCATGAGTCTAGAAAGGTGCAAATTAGGCCGGGCGCGGTGGCTCACACCTGTAATCCCAGCACTTGGGGAGGCCGAGGCGGCCGGATCACCTGAGGTCGGGAGTTCAAGACCAGCCTGACCAACATGGAGAAACCCCATCTCTACTAAAAATACAAAATTAGCCAGGCTTGGTGGCGCATGCCTGTAATCCCAGCCACTCAGGAAGCTGAGGTAGGAGCATTGCTTGAACCCGGGAAGCGGAGGTTGTGGCGAGCCAAGATCGTGCCACTGTACTCCAGCCTGGGCAACGAGAGCGAAACTCCATCTCAAAACGAAAAGAAAAGAAAGGTGCAAGTTAAACCGCAGTGAACTATTGCTAGAATTGTTGCTAGGTTGGTTAAAATGAAAGAGACTGATGTTACTCAGTGATGGTACGTGGAGCCATAGTAACTCTCATCCCCTGCTAGTGGTAGTGTGATTTGCTGGAACCACTTTAGAAAACCGTCCGACCTTACTGGCTAAAGCCAAAAATAGAAACACCCACTTCCTCAACAATTGTATTCCTAGATACGGAGAGTAGAGTGTGTCTGTGTACATGCAAGATTCTTGTTCATAGCAGCATTCCTTTCAGTCTTCTATATCTTGATTTAGGAGGTGGGTACATTTGTGTGTATGTGTACAAATTAATTGAGCTGTACGTTAAAGATTTCTATACCTTATTGTTAGTTATATTTCAGTTAAAAGTAAATAAAAAGGAAGATGTTGATACTTTTTTTCATTTCTGGAATGTCTTAGTTGATTCATTTAAAAAATATATTTGGTGATTTTTTTAGAGTCTTTTGCTCCTCAATTCAGTTTCCATTTCCCTTTAAGAGCATATTTGTCTTTCTTTCATTTTTCAATTTAAAGCTTTCACGACCCCACCGTTAAATAATATTTCTTTTTATATTTCAGGTAGACAGCTAGTGACATATTAAGAAGGTAGAATATTTATCCTCGCTTCCAAGAATTTTTTTTGAATCACGAAGGTGTGTTGGATTTGATTGGATGTTTTTCTTCATCTATTTGAATGACGTGATTTTTCTCCTTTAATCTGTTGTCTTAGTTTAGATTTCTTTAGAAAGAGACTCTGAAACTAAAATGTAAGAGCAGGTAGTTTATTTGGAAGATAAGTTCAGGAAACACCAGTAGGGAGTGGGAAGTCAGACAGAGAAAGCAAAGAAGCCAATAAAAGGTGGTGTCAATCTAAATAACAGGCAGAATCTCTCTGAAAAGTAATGTAACTTAATTAGGGAACGAGCATTGGCAGTGGTTATACAGGTGTCAGAGTAAACTATGTTTGAGGAAGTTGTGGTAAGGGAAAGTTTTGTGTTTTTTTTTGTTTGGTTGGTTTTTTTTTTTTTTTTTTTTTTTTTGCTTGGGGGACGGAGTTTTGCTCTTGTTGCCCTGGCTGGAGTGCAATGGCAAGATCTCGGCTTACTGCAACCTCTGCCTCCTGGGTTCAAGCGATTCTCCTGCCTCAAGAAGCAGGGTAAAAGACACTAGTGGAAAACGCTGACTCTGCCTCACCACACCCCTTGAGAGCCTCAGTGAGTGGAGTTTGTGAACATTCGTAGAGGCAGCAGGATGGAAATCTCTGGAGGCCTTAGCATTGGACGCACATTGCCATGGTGTTTGACATTCCTGAGGACAGAAGGAGAGGGCGGTGAGGAAAATAAGATTGTTAGCCTGGTTCTAAAAGTGTCCACTGTTTGTGGAGTCCCATATGTCAGAGAAGACATGAATGGTGAGAGGAGAGAGTGGTGGAAGGAGATGGTTTTGAGAGAGGAGAAGCGTGGAGGGATAGTGGAGGAGCTGTTGTTTGGGGGCAACGTGGAGAATGAGACTGAGAAGGTGACCCTACCCTCTGTGTGGCCTATGCCAGTCTAAGTTGTATGTGGATAAAGTTATCTACCAACATTGAACATAAAGAATGGAGAACCTGGATCTGAGCGAGGGACCTCTTGCTCTACAGTCAAAAGCTCTAGCCCAGAGCTTTACCCCCATGGCACACTGAGGTTACCTAGTTAGTACCTTTTATCAGTATGGGAACACTCAGCTTTGTAAAATTAAATGATGGCTTCCCTCCAGGACTGACTTTCTGGAAGCTGCCAGACCTGATTCACAGCTAGACACCTTCCCTCAGCTCTGCAGTTCACCAGGTCTGTCTCTGGGTGGAGCCATGAGCAGGAGAAAAGGATGGAGGCTGTCTGCAGAACTCAGAGCCATTTCCCATTGTTTTTTGGGGTTAACCCAAGAGCTGGCCACTGGTGTCCAAAACAGTCCACAGACTAACCCAAGCTCCCAGCCCGGCTCCCTTTTTCCTGCAGTGAAGACAGAGTGGACAAATATGATAACTGATGATAAACTGCCTAGCATGATATTAGCACATAGTAGGGCATAGTAAGCATTAAAAAAATAACACCAGTTCCTGTTCTTGTCTTTTGGCAAACTCCAAACCAGTATCTGTAATGTCTCCTAAATGACCTCCTTAGACAAAGGACCTCACTGGTTCTTCATTGCAGCACACAGGACTCCCTGTGGCCCACAGAACAAAGTTGGAATTCCCAATCATCTCATACGAACAGACTCTTGAGTCTAATCCCCCACCTCCAAGCCTTGGGCCACAGTCACAGAGTGGGCTGTAATTCACGTGCAGCCGCAGAGCTACAGGAGTTTGGTCGTAGGGGCAGCACTGCAGAGCCTCTGTCTCCCTTGTTAGAGTAGCTGAGCCAGGCTTTTGGCCTATAAGGTTGAAGCAAGGGTGTGAGTGAGCCCTGCGTGGGAGCAATTCTCCAGGGGAAACATCTGCCCTCCATGGGAATGCTGTGTGCTGTGATGTGTCTCCCCAGGTCTGGCCACCACTCCAGTGCACCAAACTGCTGCTGTGGGAAGGAGCCAGGAGAGTGATAACTTGGGGTACCATTCCCCATCTGTTTCTGGGGAGCCTGCTGCAGTACTACTCTCTGGTCTGCCCTGGAAAAACCCAGAAGCATACTGCATCACAGCTTGAGAAATTACATCTATAGGGGGAGCAGGGAGCTAGATACCAAGAATACCAAGAATATGAGGGATACCCGTGGAACTGGTGCTGGGAGAAGTTATCCAGCCAGGTTGCAGCTGGGTAGGCCTGAGCTGTAGCTTCCAGTTCCAGGGAAAATCATAGGTGGAATGGATGAAAAGAAACTGGAATGTGACCAACAGCTTCTGTGAAGAATATAACAGCTTGTATGAATAGAAAAAGTGCAGTAGGGGGCACCCAGATTTGAACTGGGGACCTCTTGATCTGCAGTCAAATGCTCTACCCCTGAGCTATACGCCCTGCTTGTCATAAGTGTCTAATAACCACTTTTCATGTTGGTAATCGCACCCAGGAGTCCTACAGCACATTGAAAGTTCCTGCTTACTTTTAGAGAGTAAGACCAGCAACTGATTTTACCACAAACTCACCCCAGAAAAGTCCATCCCCAGTTGCCAAACCCTGGCCCCTGCTCACATGCCTGCACAATCTCCCCGCTTTCCCTCAGTCCGTGGTGACAGGAGCAGCTGAGAGGAGTGTTTCCGTTTACTGCTGGAACAGCCTTTAGGTCTCCATGTTTGATGTCTTCTTGTTTACACTACAAAATAGCAGTTTGGAGACACAAATTGAGACACATGCAGTACTGACATATATAGATATCTCTCAGTCTGGGATCTTTGCATTAAATCCAGTTCATGAAAGACTTGGTGAAGTTGGGGGAGTTCCTAGGCCCTGACATGGATCAGAGAGTAGTCCTGGGAAGCATCATGGAGACAACATAGCATGAGGACCACACAGCTCCTCCAGGTTTTGGCCAGAAAACTCCGCTGCTAGTGTGGAAAGCTCTACCCTGAACTACACCTCCATTCCCAGTGCATGGCTGTTTTTAACGTTACATATATTTTTATAATTTATCAGAAGTTTGGACTGGTTGGAGCCCACCACAGCGCCACAAAGCCTCCGTAGCCAGACTGCCTTTCTAGATTCCTCCTCTCTGGGCAGGGTATCTCTGAAAGAAAGGCAGTAGCCTCATTCAGGGCCTTGTAGATAAAACTCCCATATCCCTGGGACAGAGCACCTGGGGGAAAGGGGTGGCTGTGGGCACAGCTTCATCAGACTTAAACTTTTCTGCCTGCCGGCTCTGAAGAGAGCAGTGGATCTCCCAGCACAGTGCTCAAGCTCTGCTAAGGGACAGACTGCCTCCTCAAGTGGGTTCCTGACCCCCGTGCCTCCTGATGGGGAGACACCTCCCAGCAGGGATCAACAGACACCTCATGTAGGAGAGCGCTGGCTGGCATCTGGCGTGTGCCCCTCTGAGACGAAGCTTCCAGAGGAAGGAGCAGTCAGCAGTCTTTGCTGTTCTGCAGCCTCTGCTGGTGATACCCAGGAAAACAGTGTCTGGAGTGGACCACCAGCAAACTCTTAGCAGACCTGCAGAAGAGGGGCCTGACTGTTAGAAGGAAAACTAACAAACAGAAAGCAATAGCATCAAATAAACGAAAAGGACGACCACACAAAAACCCCATCTGAAGGTTACCAACATCAAAGACCAAAGGCATTTCTCTATTTCTCTTTCTTTCCCTTCTTTCACTCCCTCCCTCCTTCCCTTCTTCCTTCTCTTTTTTTTCTTTTGAGACAAGGTGTTGCTCTGTCACGCAGGCTGAAATGCAGTGGCATGATCATAGCTCACTACAGCCTCAAGCCATCCCACCTTAGCCTGCTCTATAGCTGGGACTCCAGGTACATGCCATGACATTTCACAGGACATATCCACAGAAAATTGTGGCATTAGCATGATTTGAGGGTGAGATTTTTGGCCCTCTTATATCAAAAGGCCACCTCTCAGGCACTTGCTCAGACCAGTTGAAGAGTCAGTTGTCTAAACCAGTTTTAGCTGGACAGGAGCTGGCCCAAGTGCCTGAAAAACAACTGAAGTGACCATCACCATGTGACCTACGTAAGTTCTATAAAGCCTCCCATGAAAGTTAAGTTTCTGCATTGAGCATTGAGGCTTTCAGGTACGGTGGCCTTCAGCTTCGTGGAAATAGGGAAATAATAACAACAAAAAGCAAGCAGGGCAGTTGGGCCTGATCAGATTAATCCCTCCATTTGAAGGCAAGCAGGAAACAACCGGCCTTGGGGGCTCAGGGGTTACAAGGCACAAGTGAACCACTTGGAAGTGGCCCTGGATCTTCACTTATTTTTGCATCTGTGACCTTCACCATGAGACTTTGCAGATCTTCCCACTAGAGGTGGAACATGCTTCCCTGCTCTTGAGTTAGGGCTTGCTTCTCTGACTTGATTTGATCAATGAGATGTTAGCACATGTGATGCAAACAGAGGCTTGAAAGCTGCTTGCATAGTTGGGCCTCCCCCTTTGCATTTCTGCTGTCACCACCAGAAGAGTGTCCCCTTGCTAGCTGCTACTCCTCCAGCTGGGATTGTGGAAGGAACACACATGGAGCAAACTTGAGCCCGGCTCAGACAGAAACCAAGCACAGATGGACCCACAGCTTGAAGCAGACCCAGCCTACATCAGCTGATTGGCATCCATGCTGCTGACCTATCAGCACGAGACATGCTTATGGTTTCATACAGCCTAATTTTGGGATGATTTGTTGTGACACATTGTTGTGGAAATAGCTGACTAATACAGCCTTGATTCTTACACCTGCCTCTCCCCCAACCCTCATCCCCTATTCCCATCAGGTACTGAGTAAGGGAATGGGAGGAGATAGTTGAAGGAGTTCAGGTTGTGGCTACAGAGTAGGAAAGTACCATTAGACCAGTGAAGGGTCTCTGGGAAATGGAGGGGTGAACTCATGACCAGAAGGGCGGTCTCTAGTCAGTTGTGGTAGAGTTGCCAGTTTCCATAAGCTGGCTGGGAATGAATACAATTTATAGTGCACTGTAGAATCCTTGGGTGTGGCAACACAGGTGAAATATGCTAAGGAGGAATGTCCACCAGGCAAGGGGGTATAGCTCACAGGTAGAGCATTTGACTGCAGATCAAGAGGTCCCCGGTTCAAATCCGGTTACTCCCTGCTGCCACTTACCTGTGGGTTCTCTTTTCCTGATGTTGAGCTTGCTAGTCATCCTCACCACTGTTCTTCCTATAGTTCGTGTCAGTTTTCTCATGACTTCATTTTTCTGGCACAAGTCATGATCAAGTCAGTAATAATCTGCATGTGCTTCAAAAGTTCTAATTAGCTGCTCTTCTTTGAAGTTTATATTATGGCAGGACAGCCTGAATTAGAGGTTATGTAGTCTGACTTTGCATCAGCATTACTGACAGAACATGTCAAAGATACAGATTACTTCCTAGAAATTCCAATTTAGTAGGACTGAGGAGGAATCAGAGAACTTCTACTTTTGGGGGTTGTCTGGGGCATAATCCCCTGTTAATACCTGTTCTAACATCCAATAATTCCAAGTGGCTGGAAAATTGTTTTGGAACTTACAACAACTTGTCATTCTAAACAACATCCCAGTGGGAAGCATCAGTGATGTTCAAGCTAGTGCCTGCCTTCAGTCCATCACTGAGGGCATGTAGGGTGCTGAGCTGCAGGCATAGGCAAGTGGCCAGGTATGTAGAGGTGGGAGAGTGTGGGAAGGTGGGGGATGTCAGAATGAAGCTGTGGGCATGGTAGGAGGGTGACCAATTGCAATGGCACAGTCAGCTAGGGGTGGTGGCAGGCCATGAGTGATTACTCGACTCCCTGCATTGAAGTTCAGAATTAAAGTGTACTCAGGCTTCAGTAGTTGTTTTTGAGTAAAGCATTTGATTGATGATCCACAGGTCCCTGACTCAAATTCATGTGTTCCCTACCTACACTAATTTCTTCCCATACTGACCAGAGTATTCAAAAATAGTTTCGTTTCACCTCCTGAGGCCCCTGCACCTGACTCTTCCTGCAAAGAGGACGAGAGGGTAAGGAGGTTGGTTTGTCCCATGCTCCTCTCTACTTTCCTGCTGCCCCACGTGACCTGCCCAGATCTGCTCTGCACGCCTGATTCAGTCTTGTCTTGCTTTGCTTTGGTGAGCATTTCTCTTGTGTTTTCTTTTTTGTTTTTCTTCCTATTCTTCCCCACCCTGTGAACCCTCTGTCCACATTTTGAGGATCCCCAGTTGTGTGAGGCACAGTGGAAGACATGGCTCTGCTTGTAGCCCTCGAAGCTGCAAGGAAGGAAAAAGCCTCTTTCTCTCTTTGTCTTCCTGGCACTTCTGGCCACTCAAGTGGCCCTGACTGCTACTTACTCAGCTAATGCTCCAGAACCGAACACTTTCTATCAGGGAAACAAGTGGCAAACCTAATCTTTTAGGAAGAGACAAAGGCAGGGCACAGGATGAGGGGAGGAAGAGGAGGACACTGAGAGGGAAGGCAGGAGCATGGTTGACCCTTGAACAACACAGGGGCCAGGGGTGCAAGCCCCCAATCCCATGCAGCGGAAGGTCTACATCTAACTTTTGACTCTCCAAAAAGTTAACTAGTGATAGTCTCCTATTGACTAGAAGCCTTATTGACAATATGAATAATCAATAACATGTATATTGTATGCTCTATGTATTATATATTATATATTTACAATAAGCTAGAGAAACTTTTTATTAAGAAAATCATAAGGAAAAGAAAATATGTTTATTACTCTTTAAGTGGAAGTGAGTCATAGTAAAGGTCATCATCCTCATCATTAGCTTCAGATTGAGTAGGCTGAGGAGGAGGATGAGGGGTTGTTCTTGCTGTCTCAGGTCGCAGAGGAGAAGGAAATTCACTTATAAGTGGGTCTGCGTAGTTCAAACCCATGTTGTTCAAGGGGCAGCTGTGGATTGAAGACAAAGTTAATTCAAAGCTTTGCAAAGAGTCCACCTTGCCTCCGATGACTAACGTTAATTGATGAATTAATTAATTTGTTTATTTGAGACAGAGTCTCGCTCTGTCATCCAGGCTGGAGTACAGTGGCGCGTTATCGGCTCACTGTAACCTTCACCTCCCGAGTTCAAGCTATTCTCCTGCCTCAGCTTCCTCAGTAGCTGGAATTACGGGTACTCGCCATCATGCCCAGCTGAGTTTTGTGTTTTTATAGAGATGAGGTTTCACCATGTTGGCCAGGCTGGATTTCAACTCCTGACCTCAGGCCATCCGCTCGCCTCGGCCACCCAAAGTGCTGGGATTACAGGTGTGAGCCACCGCGGCTGGCCTTAACCTTAATTTAAACCTGTAGCAGTTGTAGAACATAAACCCATTGGTCAGCCTTATGGTTCGGTATGATTAAAAGCACACATTTATTTAAGGTGAATCTGGTTACCAGATATCAGTGTCTCAGATTTCCCTGGAGCCAGTCAGCACCTTTGAAAGTTAAGGGAAGGACGGGTGGACACGAGAAAAACCAAATTTCTGAAGTGGAGACCTGCTGGGTCATTTGACTAGGGAGACCACATCTCTGCAAGGCTCGACCCCTGATTCTTCCAGAAGACCCGCCCTTGACCGTCCCACCTACTTTGGTTTTCCCTTTCGTCTGACACTGAGAAAGGTGGTGTTCCGCAGAGGCCCTCCTGTGCGCCACTTGTGTGAAATTAAATGCATCCCCCATGTCCGTCATCTCATCTCAGTCAGGTTTGCACTTCCCTAAGGGCAGAAGCATGTTCCGGGCTGGCCGCTTTGCCAGTCGTCATCAGGACATTGACAGTTTAGTTCTACAGATGCATTTTGAGAATCTTCTAGGTGTCAAGGACAGTGCTGAGTGCTAGAGGACATAAAGATGGTCGAGAACAGATACTTTTGGGCTGCAATAGGTTACAATCCAGGTGCATCCAGCTTCCTAGGCTGGGTGGGAAGTTGTGGGTGACTGGGTTTCATTGTATTTACATTGTGTATGGAGGCTTCCCTCGCATTCACACCATTGTTAAATTAGAGTAAAGAGGGGTCTGGAAATATGGTAGTAGATGGTAAGACTCCACAGCACTCTCTGTCTGCATCATACGATGTTCAGCAGCATCCTTGGCTTCTACCCACCAGTAGACAAGATGAGTAGACACAAACTGCACTGTCCATCCTGAGCCTGTTGGCAGGGATCCTGTGTGGCCTTTATCTCTGTCCTCTGTCTGAGAAGCCAGGACTCCCAGCTCATCCCTCGCCACATCTGGCCTGGCCCATCCCCCTGTGAGACCTCACCTCCCCTTCTCCTCACCTCCTGCACATCCCTCCACTGAGCCTTATCGGACTCAGGGCTTAGCAGACCTGCCAGGTCCTGAGCGTTCCCTGCTCGGGCTGAGCTCCAGGGGACTGCAGCCCTCTGAGTGTTTGTCATCCTCTTCCTTGCCTCCCTCTGAGCCCAGGCCCACCGGGGACAGGGTCCTTGCCCCTCATGATTGCGCTTCTGCCAGCTTCACTCCTTCTCTAGAGACCCTGCCTTTGGGTCTCAGGCCTCGTCTTTTTGCTGCTTCTGCAGACCTTCCCTATCTTCTCGTCACCCAGGACACTGGACCTGCTTTCCTGCTTTGGGTCTTGCCTGTCAGACAGCATCATGTATATGTATGTTTCCTATTTATAGATTCATCGTATGTCAGGTCTTCCCCATTAGAATGTCAATTTCAAAAGTACAAAAATTTTTAATCTGTTTTCTTCATATAATCATTCTAGGCACCTAGAATATTGCCTAACACAGAGTAGGAATTCAATAATTATTTGCT
The DNA here is from genome assembly GCF_000001405.40 of Homo sapiens. Classification (NCBI taxonomy): domain Eukaryota; kingdom Metazoa; phylum Chordata; class Mammalia; order Primates; family Hominidae; genus Homo; species Homo sapiens. The sequence goes on along the minus strand of NC_000007.14, from coordinate 149,591,566 downwards.
GAATGTATGCCATGCTTCATAATTTAAAAAGTGTGTGTGATGTGTGTGTGTGAAATAATGGATTTCTGATACCATTTAAATTTCTTTTAAGGTCTCCCATGCCTCCCTGGAGCAACCACTTGTCCTGAATTGTCTGTGTTTATCCTTTCTATCCACTTTTTTTTTTTTTTTTAATTTGACACAGAGTCTCACTCTGTCACCCAGGCTGGAGTGCAGTGGCGTGATCTCGGCTCAACCTCAACCTCTGCCTCCCAGGTTCAAGCGATCCTCCTAGCTCAGCCTCCTGAGTAGCTGGGACTACAGGCGTGTACCACCACGACTGGCAAATATTTGTATTTTTAGTACAGACGGGGTTTTACCGTGTTAGCCAGGATAGTCTCGATCTCCTGACCTCATGATCCGCCTGCATCACCCTCCCAAAGTGCTGGATTACAGGCGTTGAATCACTGCGCCTGGCCTCTATCCACATTTTAAAACATCTGCCATGTGCATTTGTAGTTGTAAACAGTATATTATATGGTTTTTTGTGTTTTGAAAAATTACATGGATGTTATTATATTTATCACTCATTATTCTGTATTTCAGACTTATCCATGTTGATACATGTAGATCAAGTTCATTCCTTTTAACAGATGCTTAATATTCCAGAAGCAACTATATTGTAACTTATTTTCCATTCCTCCACTGATTGGCACTTAAGCTTTTTCTGATTTTTCACACAAGCAATACCGTAGTGAGCGTTCTTGGGCCTGTCTCTTTGTGCCCCTGTTGGGATGCTACTCCAGAAAACAGACCCAGCGGTGGCCTCACCATATCATAGGCTTGCTTGATTTCATCTCTGCCATTGCCATATTGCTGTCCCCAGAAGTACCCCAGTGCCACCGGGTGCTCCAGCAGCTATGAGGAACCTGTTTCCGTACATCTTTGCCCAGTTTCTATAATTACATTTCTGCCAACCTAATGGGGGAGAGATCCTGGTCCTAATACAGGGGACACTGGAGGCCTGAGCTTCAGGGCTCAAATAGCCAGCCTTTGTGCCTGGTCCTGGCTCTGCCAGTTGTGCTGAGCTAATGGTTTGGAGCTAGCATGGGGCTGGGTCCCCTCTGTTAAGGTGGTGTCTCCCTTTTAAAGGGAAGGACTAGTAAGTGAGGAGAGGGAAGAAGAGAAGACAGTCGAAAAAATGTAGGCCAAGGCCCAAAGTACCCCACTGTGCAGAGGGTGAAAGTGAAGTGGAGAGGGAGTATGGGATGTAGGTTAAAGAAGATAAAACTAAAGCAGGAGAGAAGGAGAGAGGAAGCTTCCAGCTCTAAACAGCAGTTCTCCAAATTGTTGCCCCACACAGGGACTGAGGAGGAGGCTGCAGGATTCTAGGCAGGAAAGATTTCTAGAAGTCCTCTGATAGGTCCATAGGGAAGGACAGGGTAAGTTCAAAGCCAGATAGAGGTCTGTCTGAAGGAGGTCAGTTGCCAGTGGTTCACTGAAAATGATGAGAAATTACAATGTCTATTAGATCCTTGGGCGTGGGAACATAGGTGAAACAGTGTCAATCAGGAAAGTCTAAACAGTTGAGAGGGCATATTTTGAGGGCAGAGCATCTGGCTGCATATCAAGTAGTCCCTGTTTCAAGATGGTGTCACGTATTGGCCCTTCCTTTCACTCTGCCCATGTGTTTGCAGTCACTCCGTCCTGTGTCATGTCCCAGTGACCACAGATTTCTCTGATTCTCCACTTCTCCACTTTCCATGGATTGGATCCTGTCTTCTGGTCACTACTTTTATCTGACACATTGTGGGATTCAGCAAATGGAAAAGAGGAAAGGAAAAGGCAGTTCAACTCCTGCCTCAGAGTGTTCAGTGCAAAGAGGCCCTTTATCATGAATGTGGATTCTAGTCTTGACTTGGTCATTAATCAGGTGTGTTTTGTTTGGGTATGATTTTAATTACTGTCATTTTTTCCAGATCTATACCATGGAAGGGAACAGATTAAACGAGTATCTCCAAACCATGAGTTAGAATGTTGCAGGTTTTTTAGAAGCACACATGTCCCTAGGTCCCTTCCCAGAGAGTCTGGCTTAGGAGTCCTCAAGTGGGGCCCAAGAACTTTCGATTTTACCCAGCTCTGCCCTGCCCTGCCCAGCCCAGCCCATCCTCACCTCCAGCGGGTCTGCTGAACAACCAATTCTTTTGAGTCCCTCTGTTCTAGGCGAGTCTGAAGGATGTTTTGGCTGCAAACCTCAGTGATTTTAATGTCCCTGCCTTCAGTCACACACTGGAGGAAGAAGGATGCTGGTTGTAAGTAGAGCTAGCAGGCAGGTGTGGAGTGGGAAGGGGGTGTATCATGGCAAAGCAAGTACACATCTCATGACGGTGACAGGATATGGCCATACAGGTTTATAGTAGTTATTAGAGATAGGTAGTCAAATGGGGGTATAGCTCAGGGGTAGAGCACTTGACTGCAGATCAAGAGGTCCCTGGTTCAAATCCAGGTGCCCCCTCCCTGTTTTCACTCACTGAACATGATATGATGTTCTATTCCTAGCCTTTCTTCAACACATGGATTCATTCTGCAAAGCAGGAGAGAGAGGAGGCAGGTCAGGTCTTCACTAGAAAGCCTCACCTGACACCAGAAGCTGTAGAGAAACCCAGTTTCTAGAAGGCTGTCATTGTCCACAGGTCTGGGGAGAACTCTTTTTTTCTTGCACATCTCAACCCTCTTCATTTGGGGAATTCACAATTGTGTAAGTCTTGGTGGAAGACAGGATCCTGTTTCTGGTCAAGGAAAATACAAGGTCAGATATGTTGTCTCCCTGAACGTTGGTGTGTGAATCAGGGTTCCTCAGAGAAAATAGAACCAATAGGGGCTTGTGTGTGTGTGCACGTGTGCACGTGTGTGTACATAGACAGATTTTTAGGAACTGGATCATGCCATTGTGGGGGCTGGCAAGTGTGATGTCTTCAGGGCATGGCAGCAATCTGGAGAAGCAGGGAAGAGTTGAGGTTGCAGCTCCAGCCTGAAGACAGCATGGAGGCAAAATTCCTTTCTTGGGGGACAGCAGATATTTCCTCATAAGGTTTTCATCTGATCGCATGAGGCCCACTCACATTTTGGAGGGTAATCTGCTTTAGTCAAAGTCTATAGATTGAATGTTAATCACATCTAAAAAATACTTTCACAGCAACATCCAGATTGGTATGGACAAACATCTGGCCAGCATGGCCTAGCCAAGTTGACACATTTAAAGAAAAAAAAAAAAACTGTTGAGGCAGACAGAAGCTCCCTCTGTCACCCAAGCTGGAGTGCAGTGGCACTATCTCCACTCACTGCAACCTTCGTCTTCTGGGCTCAAGAGATCCTCCTACCCCAACCTCCAGAGTAGCTGGGACCACAGGTGTGCACCACCACGCCCAGCTAATTTTTGTATTTTTTGTAGAGATGGGATTCTGCCATGTTGCCCAGGCTGGTCTCAAACTTCTGGGCTTAAGCGATCCACGTGCCTCAGCCTACCAAACTGCTGGAATTACAGGCATGAGCCACTGTGCCCTGCTGACATGTAAAATTAACCAGCACAATTGGTAATGGCTTCAGTTTAGCCAATTATATTCCCCTAAACAAGACTATGAATGTTGATTAAATCATACATGGAGGCGGGGTGAATTTGGAATTCATTCTGGAGATGGCAGAGCTCTGGCAATGGCAGTAGGGCCAGAGGCTGCAGCTAGTGTCTGTTGTGGTGGCAGTGGTGGCTCCCTAGCCAGGGTGGGCTGAGGTCCTGCCTGTTTGATGAGCCTGGCTCTGCAGGCTTCTCTGAAGTGCGTGAGCTCCTCGCCATCCTGTCAGCAATTGCCCTCTGTGTCTCCACTCACCTTAGATGATGTCTTCTTTAATCAAAGTGCCCTTGCTGGTACCAGGGATGTATAATAAATGATTACAGAAACATAAAGGGAATGTGGATTGGGAATCTGGCCTCATTAAACTTGAAGGTAATGAAAATCTACGCAGTTTGAGGGGATAGAAATCCAGAAGCCCATATCAGGCTGTAGAAAAGTTGAGTAACTTTGCCTGCAGTCCCATCAGGACCAATTTGTAGTTCCCAGTTTATAAGTGGCCTCTGGGCAGGATGACTGGTCCTACCAGTTTAAACAAAGCAAGTAGCTCACTTGTCACCCTGTATGATCCATTCCCATGGACTGAAAACACAGGGCTTTTTCTGACTGTATAACAAAACTCTCTGATCTCCTGCCCCCGAATAACTGAACTAGGTGAAAATGAAAGCCAAGTCTGATCCCTGTGGCTTACCAAACTTTGATGTCCATGGAATCTGCAGCTTCCCCCGGTCTCCCAGCTGAAAATAGGTCAGTGATTAAGAGAGTGGAACTTCAGGAATTTTAAGGTAGGTTTATGGAAGCATTTGGAAAACTCAGTTTATCCCAAATCACCAGCTCTCCCTAATCTCCAAGCCTGCCCCTTCTTCCCGCAAAAGCCGACCAGCCCAGATGGAAGGGTTTTCACTGCAAGAGATTGGTTTCCCCATCCTCATTGTCCCTTGACTTACAGTGAGAGTAAGATCTCAGTTGAGCCTGGGCACCAGTTGCTGGGAGGCAAAGACTCACACACCAAAATCATTTCCAACTGGCTAATGTCTGTCAGCAAAAACTTAAAGAGCATGTGTGGATGTAGATTCTTGGAATACTTTATAAAGTAGAAAGGGTATAACTTTAAATGAGTCTGAATTTTTTTATTAGGAGTGTTCCCAATTAAAATTCTATTTAAGATACCATAGCTGGAGCAGCTGGGATAAACCTGTTTGCTCAGTTGGTGGACCTAAGCCTGGATTCACAGAAGGCCAATTCTTTTTTTTTTTTTTTTTTTGAGACGGAGTCACGCTCTGTCTCCCAGGCTGGAGTGCAGTGGCGCGATCTCGGCTCACTGCAAGCTCTGCCTCCCGGGTTCACGCCATTCTCCTGCCTCAGCCTCCCGAGTAGCTGGGACTACAGGGGCCCGCCACCATGCCCGGCTTATTTTTTGTAATTTTAGTAGAGACGGGGTTTCACCATGTTAGCCAGCATGGTCTCGATCTCCTGACCTCGTGATCTGCCCGCCTCGGCATCCCAAAGTGCTGGGATTACAGGCATGAGCCACCGCGCCCAGCCACAGGAGGCCAATTCTAAATGCATTTGAGATACTAGGAATTTCTTGCTATAATGTAGAAAGAATACATTGGCTTCAGGGGGTAGGTAAGCTGGAGTGGATTTATCACACGTGACTTGCCCTGGCTTGAAAAATACCTAGGTGTGTGGAGCTTCTACATTCATGAAAAGAATCCTGGTAGCTGTTCTCTGTAGACAAAAATGCTGGTGGGAGTGATGATAGCGGAAAGGAAGCTCCTGATTTCAGTGGGGCTAGGAGGATCGTAGGGTGTCAGAGGCCAAGCAGTGGACACTTTACCACAGAATGTTATTCCATGGTCTCTGCCACACAGGTCTTGGCTGTGACTCATCAGTGGGAGGATTCTAGGCCTGACAATGGGGAGCCCATCATGGTCCCCTAGACGTGTAGACCTGAGCTACCACCATAGCCGGCACAATGGAGGTTCCTGGCCTCTGACCCATTCCCCAGGTCTGAATCTGCTCAAAGAACCTGCCTCCCCTGATGACGAGAAAGCCAAGCTTGAGAAAAGTACTCTGCCAAAATACCCAGTCATGGACAGTGAATCCTCCTGCCAGATTTCCCATAATAGCCCCTTCAGCCATTTGCCTGGAAACTGCACTGAGGAGTGGGAAATATCCACATAATTGGGGATTATTGGTGGCTCTGCTGCATCTGTGAAGCTCCTGGAGGTTTGGTATTTTTGGGAACATCAGAATATTCCAGAAAAGACCACATCCTGCATCTTGCTTTGTTCAGCTACCACCACCATCAGAGGGGGCTCGAGAGACCACAGTTACTACCCATGGTGTGCTCCTCTCACCCAAAAGGCTACAGACTGCAAGGTTTTCATCACATAATAATGAGATGAGCCTTAGGGGACAGACCAAAAGGTTCCAATCAGGGTGCCCTTTACGGATTCTTATTTTTATTTACTGATTTTGGAATCTGACACCAGCTTCCTTTCCCTTGCTGGAGCCCATGATCTGTATCTGTCTGCATGGAGGAGAGAGAAGAGGTTGATGGGATCAGGTCAGTCCTCTGGGTAGTCCCAGCTGACTTCCTCTATCATCTCGCTCCTTGCCCACAGTCTCACAGAGCCTCCCAGAATCCTGCTTTTCCCCAGTCCTTGGTCTGGGTAGGCCAGGGTGTGAGTCTGCAGCAGCCCCAGATGGGAAATCCAGAACCTGAGGGCCCAGAGCCAAAGTCCAGGGTGCAGCACACTTAGAAATCTAAGCTCATTAGATTTCTCATACCTGTTGGAGGCGGGCATGAAACTGTGGCTGGTTCAGGTTCTCCTGTGCCACAGTGGAAGCTGGGTGCTGTGGAGAATACAGCAGGACTTAGAGACATGGCCCAGCCCTCTCTTGGGAATCACATGGATGTGCCTGGGGAGATTCTGGAGAACTCTGCAAAAGTCCTGGAGTGGTATCCAGAGGGCTGCAGGAGACAGATGTGCCTTACAAACTTTAAAACCCATGAAATCACCTGAGGGCTATTGAGTCTGCACTTCAGAGATGCTGTGGGTCAGAGATTAGATAGGCTGTGTCATTTTTTTTGCAGGGTGGATTGGGTGGAGCTTATGACCCAGGACCCACTTTGGTGATTAAAAAGTAGAACAGTGTAGGGGGCACCTGGATTTGAACCAGAGACCTCTTGATCTGCAGTCAAATGCTCTACCCCTGAGCTATACCCCCAGTCATAGGTAGACAGTGTAATTAACACCCTTTTCATGTGTCAGCACAGCAAGAGCAAGACCGAGCTCTTCCGGCTTGGATGTCTACGCCGGTTGTTTCTCTGAATTCTGGCCTCCCTCCTGTCACTGATACTTCTTTCTCCATCACTTTTGTGTGTACCTGGTTAAGGACACCCTGGTAGCCTTGTTGAGCTTTATAAATGGAGAGACCCTTCAAGTCATCCAGATAATTCTCTTAGACAGTAGCAATTGTTGAGCATCATGTGAGGTGTGCTAGGCTGGGGATGGAACTCTAACTAGGTGACACCACCTTCTCCAGCACTGAAAGGAAACCAGAGCCTGTGTCTGGAGACTTGTATTTGACGTAGAATACTGTTCATGATAATTTGTCAAGGGAAAAGCAAATTGCTTTTGTTAAAAAAAAATACTCAAAAAATAATACTTAGTCTTTTAAAAATGTGGCACATATTCACTGTGGAATACTACGCAGCCATAAAAAAGAATGAGATCATTTCCTTTGGAGCAACATGGATGGACCTGTAAGGGCATTAGCCTTAGCCACTAACACAGGAACAGAAAATCAAATAATGCATGTTCTCACTTACAAGTGGGAACTAAATGATGAGAACACATGGACACAGAGAGGGGAATGCCACACACTGGCACCTACTTGAGGGTGGATGGTGGAAGGAGAGAAGATCAGAAAAAATACATATGCATAGTACGTGGCTGATGAAATAATCTGTACACCAAGCCTACATGACATGAGCTTACCTATATGACAAACCTGCATATGTACCCCTGAACCTAAAATAAAAACAAAAAAAAAAAGAAAACATAGAAAAGATGATTCTCTACAGAGTATCACTTGTGGTAATTTATCCTTCAAAAATATTCCTATAATTGCATGAAGACACATGTATGTGGAGATTCATGATAGCGGTTTTTTAATTCCTCACAGCAAACACTGGAGACCATCAAAATATCCATTGGCAGGGAATTGGTTAAAACCAGGCTTTCTCTCTTACCCTGGAGGGGTTGAGGAGAAGGTGAAGATGCAGAGAAGCAGAGGATGCTCAGGGAACTCTATATCTTGGTCTTCTCAGTCAGGTAGAAAACAGGTCATCCAAAGAGAATAAAGGAGGTAGGGTGGGAATCATTACTTGGGAAGAAGGGCAAAGCGTGAACCAGGCATGGTGGGAAACGGAGAAAAGGTGAATTAGAAAGGAACAGAATTATTGCTTATTAGCAGAGAGTCACAGTAAGGAGAACAGGTAAACATCAGAAGTGGTGTCATTAAAGTACTTTCTGATTCTAAGATCTTGAAAGAGAATAGTTTGAGCAATGATCACATTTGGCTATGAATACTGAACGATTAAAGTAAAACCAGAAGCAGCAAACAAACCAGAAGCTTCCTTATCTGCCACTTAAAAGTCCACAGTTAGGTGGTCCAGGCATGGCTTTCCATAGGGTCAAGAACTCAAGTTCTTCTTTCTGGCTGTCTGGCCGGCTTGGCTTTCATTCCAGCATGACATCACCCACATTAGCATCTCATCAACCTCCCAGGCAGCAGGAAGATGGAAAAGACAAGTCTTTCCTGTAAGGACATCCATCACTTTCACCTGCATCTCATTGACCAGCCTTATGCCTGTGGCCTCACAGCTCCAAGAGGGTCTGGGAAATGCAGTTTTCCTTTGGGGAAGCCATGTGCCCAGCTGATAACCAAGAAGCAGGGTAGAAGACACTGGTGGAAAATGCTGAATCTCTGTCTCACCACACACCTTGAGAGCTGCAGTGAGTAGAGTTTGTGAACATTTGTAGAGCTGTGAAGATGGAAATCTCTTAGCACTGGAAGTCCTTAGCATTGGAAGCACATTGTCATGGTGTTTGACATTCCTGGGGACAAAAGGAGAAGGTGGTGAGGAAAATAGGATTGTTATTCTGTCGTGGTGTTTGACATTCCTGAGGACAAAAGGAGAGGGCGGTGAGGAAAATAGGTTTGTTAGTCTGGTTCTAAAAATGTCCAATGTTTCTGGAGTGTAAAATATCAGAGAAGACATGAATGGTGAGAGAGTGGTGGAAGGAGATGTCTTTGAGAGAGGGAAGCAGGGAGGGATGGCGGAGGAGCTGGGGCTTGGGGGCAACATGGAGAATGTGACTGAGAAGGTGACCCCACCCTCTGTTCTGGGAGTTGAAGGGGAGGGATGGCTTTAGGGGAAAGCTGGCCTTCAAATGTACAAGGAGTCATAAAAAGGCAGACTTGCAGGGCAAGGTTAAGGTGGAAGAAGACTGTTTATAGAGTAGCTGGAGGGCTGGCGGGCTTGGGTAGAGGAGCTGAAACAGTAATGGGGATACAGGAAGGAGGCTGCCCCAAGAGACCATTTCTACTAACAGAAGGTATTGGAGGGCAGGGACAGGAAAGGGGCAAGTACCCAAGTTCTAGGCCAAAGCTCTAAGTGTGGAACTGAAACAGCAAAAGCTACCTCTTAAAAATTTAAGTTTTTGTAGGTACATAGTGGTATATATTGATGGGGTACATGAGCTATTGGGAAACAGGCATGCAATGTGAAATAAGCTCACCATGGGGAATGGGGTATCCATCCCCTCTAGCATTTATCGTTTGAGTTACCAGTGCCACTTTTTGGAGGGAAAAAAATACTAAATAAAAAGTTCACATCTCTTGTTAAAAGAATCCGCTTTAATGAGTAAGAAATTATGAAACATATCATTGAAAATAAAAGAAGTTCTGTTTTTCAGGCCATACATCTTATACTAATAAGGAGAGTCACAGGATGCAGAATATTTTCAACTCAGAGGAGTAGAGCAAAGTGTCATTTGCAAAATGATCAAATTAGACAGAGCCTCAAGTGACACTACACTTGACCAGGCTCTGTCTTCAGTGCCTGCTTCTCTGTTGTGTTTTCCTGCCATTCAATGTAAAGATAGTAAGACTTTGCTGCTTTCAAATACTTTTATTACCAGAACATGTTTTCAACCTATCTAAAGTATAAACTTATGTTGTTTATATAAATCTGAAGAATTATTAAATATAAGGTAGTTTTTAAAAAGGTTCATAAAACATGATTAGTATAAGGGATACTAAAAATCATGAATTGTGCTTCAGAATTCTATGCTGTATAGTTGAACCTCTATGAATTTTAAGATTTGTGTCAAAAAAGCTGTTTGTTCTCTAAAGCATAGAACGCCATGACATCCTCTAGTTTTTGAGATGGTTGATGTAATTCAGTGATCCCTTCTGCAGAAGTTCACCTTTAAAGCTTAACTATGATGTAAAATTGCCGTTGATAATTGGAACATCTGAACACAACGTAGAACTTTACTTACACTTTAACATGTTGACATTTCATCCTCTGCAAACTGTCTTGGCCTTATAAGGGCTTACTGATTGAGCTATAGATCCTGGTGGTTTGTCTTGGAAATAGAAGACCAATACCACCCCATCCCAGAGAGAATGTCTGGATCAGGCAAGGGAAAAATTAAGACAACTAGGAAATGTTGAAACAGCCTTTGTTCCTGGAAGATGCTGTTCTGGTCCAGTTTTTTTGTTTTGTTTCGTTTTGTTTTTGGTTTTGGTTTTGGTTTTGGTTTTGGTTTTGGTTTTGGTTTTGGTTTTGGTTTTTTGAGACGCAGTCTCACTCTGTCGCCCAGGCTGGAGTGCAGTGGCATGATCTTGGCTCACTGCAAGCTCCGCCTCCCGGGTTCACGCCATTCTCCTGCCTCAGCCTCCTGAGTAGCTGGGACTACAGCCACCCACCCCCACGCCTGGCTAATTTTTTGTATTTTTAGTACAGACGAGGTTTCACCGTGTTAGCCAGGATGATCTCGATGTCCTGACCTCGTGATCTGCCCGCCTTGGCCACCCAAAGTGCTGGGATTACAGGTGTGAGCCACTGCGCCCGGCCTCTGGTCCAGTTTTAAGTGCTGTCTACATAAGTGTGAAATGAAATTCAATCTTGGGGGCCCCAAATCACTAAGCTAAATGGAAAAGTCCAGCTGAGACCTGCTTAGGGCAAACCTGCCTCCCATTTTATTCAAAGTCACCCCTCTGATTATGAGATAAATCTCTATCAGATTGCCTCCTTTAGAGAGGCTCATCAGAAATGCAAAAGAGTGCAACCTTTTGTCTCTTCTCTACCTATGACCTGGAAGCCCCCTCCCAGCTTCCAGTTGTCCCACCTTCGCCTGGTGTTGTCCCACCTTTCTGGATGGAACGAGTGTACATCTTACACGTATTGATTAATAGCTCATGTGTCCCTAAAATGTATAAAACCAAGCTGTGCCCCTACCACCTTTGGAACAGGTTGTCAGGACGCCCTGAGTCAGTGTCACAGACACGCATCTGCGTCCTTGGCAAAATACACTTTCATAATTAATGGAGACCTTTCTCTAGATATTTGGGGTTCACCTAAGGATGAATAAGAAGAGGCAGAGTGGGAACAGGGAGACTTGGGCTACGGAGGCTTCTTGGAAGCTCTGCTAAAGTGGGGTCTTGCCCTTTGCTACAGTCTAGAGCCTCCTGGGAGCTTTTATCATGCCTGGGCCCCACCCTGGATGCTCTGATTTAATTGGTCTGGTGTGAGGCCTGGGAAATGGCACTTTCATGGACTCTTCAAGTGATTCTAATTTATATCTGGGGTTAAGAACCACCACTTTCTAGCCTCAGCATTTGCTGATTTCAGAAAATAATGAAACCTTTACCCTAGTGTCTAATAAGGAAGAAGTTAAAACGTAGACACCTATTTAAAATGTCGTAGTGGGGGGCGGTTCCAAGATGGCCAAATAGGAACAGCTCCAGTCTACAGCTCCCAGCGTGAGCAACACAGAAGACTGGTGATTTCTGCATTTCCATCTGAGGTACCGGGTTCATCTCACTGGGGCTTGTTGGACAGTGGGGGCAGGACAGTGGGTGCAGCCCACCGAGCATGAGCCAAAGCAGGTTGAGGCATCGCCTCACCTGGGAAGCTCAAGGGGTCAGGGAATTCCCTTTCCTAGCCAAGGGAAGCGGTGACAGACGCCACCTGGAAAATCGGGTCACTCCCACCCCAATACTGCGCTTTTCCAACGGTCTTAGCAAACGGCACACCAGGAGATTATATCCCGCACCTGGCTCGGAGGGCCCCACGCCCACGGAGCCTCGCTCATTGCTAGCACAGCAGTCCGAGATCGATCTGCAAGGCGGCAGCGAGGCTGGGGTAGGGGCGCCCACCATTGCTGAGGCTTGAGTAGGTAAACAAAGCAGCTGGGAAGCTCGAACTGGGTGGAGCCCACCGCAGCTCAAGGAGGCCTGCTTGCCTCTGTAGACTCCACCTCTGGGGGCAGGGCATAGCCAAATAAAAGGTAGCAGAAACCTCTGCAGACTTAAATGTCCCTGTCTGACAGCTTTGAAGTGAGCAGTGGTTCTCCCAGCACGGAGTTTGAGATCTGAGAATGGACAGACTGCCCCCTCATGTAGGTCCCTGACCCCTGAGTAGCCTAACTGGGAGGCACCCTCCAGTAGGGGCTGACTGACACCTCACACGGCCAGGTACCCCTCTGAGATGAAGCTTCCAGAGGAGTGATCAGGGAGCAACATTTGCTGTTCAGCAATATTGGCTCTTCTGCAGCCTCCGCTGGTTTTACCCAGGCAAACAGGGTCTAGAGTGGACCTCCAGCAAACTCCAACAGACCTGCAGCTGAGGGGCTTGACTGTTAGAAGGAAAACTAACAGAAAGGACATCCACACCAAAACCCCATCTGTACGTCACCATCAACAAAGACCAAAAGTAGATAAAACAACAAAGATGGGGAAAAAACAGAGCAGAAAAGGTGAAAATTTTTAAAATCAGAACACTACTCCCCCTCCAAAGGAACGCAGCTCCTTGCCAGCAACGGAACGAAGCTGGATGGAGAATGACTTTGACAAGTTGAGAGAAGAAGGTTTCAGATGATCAGACTTCTCCGAGCTAAGGGAGGAAGTTCAAACCCATCGCAAAGAAGCTAAAAACCTTGGAAAAAGATTAGACGAATGGCTAACTAGAATAACCAGTGTAGAGAAGTTCTTCAATGACCTCATGGAGCTGAAAACCATGGCACAAGAACTACGTGACGAATGCACAAGCTTCAGTAGCCGATTCAATCAACTGTAAGAAAGGGTATCAGTGATTGAAGATCCAATGAATGAAATGAAGCAAGAAGAGAAGTTTAGAGAAAAAAGAGTAAAAAGAAATGAACAAAGCCCCCAAGAAATACGGAACTATGTGAAAAGACCGAATCTACGTCTGATTGGTGTACCCGAAAGTGACAGAGAGAATGGAACCAAGTTGGAAAACACTGTGCAGAATATTATCCAGGAGAACTTCCCCAGCCTAGCAAGGCAGGCCAACATTCAAAATCAGGAAATACAGAGAATGCCACAAAGATACTCCTTGAGAAGAACAACTCCAAGACACATAATTGTCAGATTCACCGAAGTTGAAATGAAGGAAAAAATGTTAAGGGCAGCCAGAGAGAAAGATCGGGTTACCCACAAAGGGAAGCCCATCAGACTAACAACAGATCTCTCGGCAGAAACTCTGCAAGCCAGAAGAGAGTGGGGGCCAATATTCAACATTCTTAAAGAAAAGACTTTTCAACCGAGAATTTCATATCCAGCCAAACTAAGCTTCATAAGTGAAGGGGAAATAAAATCCTTTACAGACAAGCAAATGCTGAGAGATTTTGTCACCACCAAGCCTGCCCTACAAGAGCTCCTGAAGGAAGCACTAAACATGGAAAGGAACAACTGGTACCAGCCACTGCAAAAACATGCCACATTATAAAGACCATCGATGCTGGGAAGAAATTGCATCAACTAACGAGCAAAATAACCAACTGACATCATAATGACAGGATCAAATTCACACATAACAGTATTAACCTTAAATGTAAATGGGCTAAATGCTCCAATTAAAAGACACAGACTGGCAAATTGGATAAAGAGTCAAGACCCATCAGTGTGCTGTATTCAAGAGACCCATCTGACGTGCAGAGACACACATAGGCTCAAAATAAAGGGATGGAGGAAGATCTACCAAGTAAATGGAAAACAAAAAAAAAGGCAGGGTTTGCAATCCTAGTCTCTGATAAAGCAGACTTTAAACCAACAAAATTCAAAAGAGACAAAGAAGGCCATTACATAGTGGTAAAGGGATCAATTCAACAAGAAGAGCTAACTATCCTAAATATATATGCACCCAATACAGGAGCACCCAGATTCATAAAGCAAGTCCTTAGAGACCTACAAAGAGACTTAGACTCCCACACAATAATAATGGGAGACTTTAACACCCCACTGTCAACATTAGACAGATCAACGAGACAGAAAGTTAACAAGGATATCCAGGAATTGAACTCAGCTCTGCACCAAGCAGACCTAATAGACATCTACAGAACTCTCCACCCGAAATCAACAGAATATACATTCTTCTCAGCACCACATGACACTTATTCCAAAATTGACCACATAGTTGGAAGTAAAGCACTTAGCAAATGTAAAAGAACAGAAATTATAACAAACTGTCTCTCAGACCACAGTGCAATCAAACTAGAACGCAGGATTAAGAAACTCACTCAAAACTGCTCAACTACATGGAAACTGAACAACCTGCTCCTGAATGACTACTGGGTACATAACAAAATGAAGGCAGAAATAAAGATGTTCTTTGAAATCAATGAGACCAAAAGCACAACATACCAGAATCTCTGGGACACATTTAAAGCAGTGTGTAGAGAGAAATTTATAGTACTAAATGCCCACAGGAGAAAGCAGGAAAGATCAAAAATTGACACCCTAACATCACAATTAAAAGAACTAGAGAAGCAAGAGCAAACACATTCAAAAGCTAGCAGAAGGCAAGAAATAACTAAGATCAGAGCAGAATTGAAGGAGATAGAGACACAAAAAGCCCTTCAAAAAATCAATGAATCCAGGAGGTGGTTTTTTGAAAAGATCAACAAAATGGATAGACCGCTAGCAAGACTAATAAAGAAGAAAAGAGAGAAGAATCAAATAGATGGAATAAAAAATGATAAAGGGGATATCACCACCAATCCCACAGAAATACAAACTACCATCAGAGAATACTGTAAACATCTCTACGCAAATAAACTAGAAAATCTAGAAGAAATGGATAAATTCCTGGACACATACACCCTCCCAAGACTAAACCAGGAAGAAGTTGAATCTCTGAATTGACCAATAACAACCTCTGAAATTGAGGCAATAATTAATAGCTTGCCAACCCAAAAAAGTCCAGGACCAGATGGATTCACAGCCGAATTCTACCAGATGTACAAGGAGGAGCTGGTACCATTCTTTCTGAAACTATTCCAATCAATAGAAAAAGAGAGTCCTCCCTAACTCATTTTATGAGGCCAGCATCATCCTGATACCAAAGCCTGACAGAGACACAACAAAAAAAGAGAATTTTAGACCAATATCCCTGATGAATATTGATGCAAAAATCCTCAATAAAATACTGGCAAACTGAATCCAGCAGCACATCAAAACGCTTATCCACCATGATCAAGTGGGCTTCATCCCTGCGATGCAAGGCTGGTTCAACATACGCAAAACAGTAAACGTAATCCAGCACATAAGCAGAACCAAAGACAAAAACCACATGGTTATCTCAATAGATGCAGAAAAGGCCTTTGACAAAATTCAACAGCCCTTCATGCTAAAAACTCTCAATAAATTAGGTATTAATGGGACATATCTCAATAAGAGCTATTTATGACAAACCCACAGCCAATATCATACTGAATGGGCAAAAACTGGAAGCATTCCCTTTGAAAACTGGCACAAGTCAGGGATGCCCTCTCTCACCACTCCTATTCAACATAGTGTTGGAAGTTCTGGCCAGGGCAATCAGGCAGGAGAAAGAAATAAAGGGTATTCAATTAGGAAAAGAGGAAGTCAAATTGTCCCTGTTTGCAGATGACATGATTGTATATTTAGAAAACCCCATCGTCTCAGCCAAAAATCTCCTTACACTGATAAGCAACTTCAGCAAAGTCTCAAGATACAAAATCAATGTGCAAAAATCACAAGCATTCTTATACATCAATAGCAGACAAACAGAGAGCCAAATCATGAGTGAACTCCCATTCACTATTGCTTCAAAGAGAATAAAGTACCTAGCAATCCCACTTACAAGGGATGTGAAGGACCTCTTCAAGAAGAACTGCAAACCACTGCTCAATGAAATAAAAGAGGACACAAACAAATGGAAGAACATTCCATGCTCATGGATAGGAAGAATCAATATCGTGAAAATGGCCATACTGCCCAAAGTAATTTATAGATTCATTGCCATCCCCATCAAGCTACCAATGACTTTCTTCACAGAATTGGAAAAATCTACTTTAAAGTTCATATGGAACCAAAACAGAGCCCGTATTGCCAAGGCAATCCTAAGTCAAAAGAACAAAGCTGGAGGCATCATGCTACCTGACTTCAAACTATACTACAAGGCTACAGTAACCAAAACAGCATGGTACTGGTGCCAAAACAGAGATATAGACCAATGGAACAGAACAGAGCCCTCAGAAATAATATCACACATCTACAACCAACTGATCTTTGACAAACCTGACAAAAACAAGAAATGGGGAAAGGATTCCCTATTTAATAAATGGTGCTGGGAAAACTGGCTAGCCATATGTAGAAAGCTGAAACTGGATCCCTTCCTTACACCTTATAGAAAAATTAATTCGAGATGGATTCAAGACTTAAATGTTAGACCTAAAACCATAAAAACCCTAGAAGAAAACCTAGGCAATACCATTCAAGACATAGGCATGGGCAAGGACTTCATGTCTAAAACACCAAAAGCAATGGCAACGAAAGCCAACATTGACAAATGGGATCTAATTAAACTAAAGAGCTTCTGCACAGCAAAAGAAACTACCGTCAGAGTGAACAGGCAACCTACAGAAGGGGAGAAAATTTTTGCAGTCTACTCATCTGACTGGGACTAATATCCAGAATCTACAAAGAACTCAAACAAATTTACAAGAAAAAAAAACCCCATCACAAAGTGGGTGAAGGATATGAACAGACACTTCTCAAAAGAAGACATTTATGCAGCCAACAGACACATGAAAAAATGCTCATCATCACTGGCCATCAAAGAAATGGAAATCAAAACCACAATGAGATACCATCTCACACCAGTTAGAATGGCAATCCTTAAAAAGTCAGGAAACAACAGGTGCTGCAGAGGATGTGGAGAAATAGGAACACTTTTACACTGTCGGTGGCACTGTAAACTAATTCAACCATTGTGGAAGACATTGTGGCAATTCCTCAAGGATCTAGAACCAGAAATACCATTTGACCCAGCCATCCCATTACTGGGTATATACCCAAAGGATTATGGATCATGCTGCTATAAAGACACATGCACATGTATGTTTATTGCGGCACTATTCACAATAGCAAAGACTTGGAACCAACCCACGTGTCC
Source organism: Homo sapiens (assembly GCF_000001405.40). Classification (NCBI taxonomy): domain Eukaryota; kingdom Metazoa; phylum Chordata; class Mammalia; order Primates; family Hominidae; genus Homo; species Homo sapiens. The sequence goes on along the minus strand of NC_000007.14, from coordinate 149,574,217 downwards.
ATCAATGATACACTGGATTAAGAAAATGTGGCACATATATACCATGAAATACTATATGCAGCCATAAAAAAGGATGAGTTCATGTCCTTTGTAGGGACATGGATGAAGCTGGAAACCATAATTTTCAGCAAACTATCACAAGGACAAAAAACGAAACACCACATGTTCTCACTCATAGGTGGGAATTGAACAATGAGAACACATGGACACAGGAAGGGAAACATCACACACCAGGACCTGTCATGGGGTGGGGGGAGTGGGGAGGGATAGCATTAGGAGATATACCTAATGTAAATGACGAGTTAATGGGTGCAGCACACCAACATGCCACATGTGTACGTATGTAACAAACCACGTTGTACACATGTACTGTAGAACTTAAAGTATAATAAAAAAAAGTTGTTATAAGTAAAATGCTTATTTAGAAATAGAATGTTTGTCTTTTGGTACTGCAAGGAAAAATTTGCATTTAGACAAGAAGTATTCTCAGCAAGGCAATTTTACTTTGTGTAGAAAGGGTGCTCTTTGCAGATGGAATAATGGCCAGAGCACACTTGAACAATGGAGGGAAGCAATTTTTATCTTTTACGTAGCTTGTTTTTGCTACTGTGTCTTGTCTATTGGCTGGAGCTAGACTTTATAATTTAAACTAAACTTGATTGGCTTCCAATTTAAAACTTTTTAAAATAGGTAAAAGTAATGGAGAAGAAAGGAAAAGAGGAAGTTGCTTATGAAATATTAGAAAATAACAACATTCTTTTTTTTGATTTTATTATTATTATACTTTAAGTTTTAGGGTACAGGTGCACAACGTGCAGGTTTGTTACATACGTATACATGTGCCATGTTGGTGTGCTGCACCCATTAACTCGTCATTTAGCATTAGGTATATCTCCTAATGCTATCCCTCCCCACTCCCCGCACCCCACAACAGTCCCCAGTGTGTGATGTTCCCCTTCCTGTGTCCATGTGTTCTCATTGTTCAGTTCCCACCTATGAGTGAGAACATGCGGTGTTTGGTTTTTTGTCCTTGCAATAGTTTTCTGAGAATGATGGTTTCCAGTTTTATCCACGTCCCTACAAAGGACACGAACTCATCATTTTTTATGGCTGCATAGTATTCCGTGGTGTATATGTGCCACATTTTCTTAATCCAGTCTATCGTTGGACATTTGGGTTGGTTCCAAGTCTTTGCTATTGTGAATAGTGCCGCAATAAACATACGTGTGCATGTGTCTTTATAGCAGCATGATTTTATGAGGAAGGGGCATAGGCTGCAAGCTGGAACATGCTTGTAAGCAAGTTTAGCAGAAATATCTTGGTTAAAGTACAAGGACATAGAATGTACTTATTCTTTTTTATTTAACCACTACATAGGATTAGGCTTAATGAAGAGTTATTAGCACAAAGCAAGGAGGCTTGAAGGAAGTTAGGTTTTAAAAGAAACTATTATTTTTTAACACATGATTTATTCTTTAACAAGGAGGGAAACTTTGAAGAGGGAACTTTTTACTTTCTACAATTTGCTCCTCTTGATTTTATAGTTTTTTTCTCTTTAAACTTTCTTAACATGTCTTGGGTTAGCTGTTTTGCTTGAGTTTTTAAAAGAAAAAGTTTTTTTGGTTGATGAAATACTAGGGTAAAAGGATAGCTAATTGAACTAGAGCACAAGTACTGCTCTAATTATTTGTCAGGGTGTCTAGTAAAGGTGTTCTATAATACTACTATACATCTGCTTTGGGATGAATAAGGGCATACTGATGCATCAGCTCTTGGAAGTGCTTGACCTCACTGCCTCCTGTTTAGTCTCTAAGGATCACCAAATTATTCTCTTGTTGTTGGAGACACGAGGTAAAATTGGTCTTGGAATATGGAGGCTGGATGGCCCTCGGCAGCTGACCCACAGGGTATTGCACTTCAGGAAATAGCAGAGAGAGAGTTTGGCACAGTTCACTATCCCAGGCTGTAGGATTTTGAAAAGGAGCTACCATGCAGTCGATGTCTTGTAGAGGACCATCTGAGTGGAAAGGGGACTAGCTGGGCCTTTGGCCTACCATGCACACAAGCATGACAATTGCTTTTTTTTAGAGTGCAGATAGAATATTTAATCTATTTTAGCCAGGCATTTATATCCTGATACCCTGTTTTAATTGCTATTGTTTGATTTAGATTTTCTTTTACTATAGAGACTTTGGTTTTGTCACTGTGTTTGGGAGGAGTGATTGATGGAGAAGTTGAAGTAGCAATAAAGCGCATTTCAAAAATTTCTCTAGGATTTTTTTTTTTTTTGAAATGTTGGCTCTTATACTATAAATACTTACAGGAACTCATTATGTCTTCCCAATCTGAGGAAGTCCAAGAGGGACAGAGATATTTTTTTTGAAGTAGTAAGCTGTCTTTGGTTATGTTAATCTCTATAAGGTATAACTAAACAGGCATCAAAAGTAATAACTTGAGATGAGTTAGATCTAGTTCATTAATAATAAGATGGGGAGTAAAGGGAAGAAAAGAAAAAGAAAAGATAGATTGAGTTTTTCTTAGCTTTAATTTGATAGGGCTTAACCTTGGAACAATGGCTCATGATTCTGACGGTGATGATGCTTTCTTGACTTGGGTGTGATGTGTCTGTCTTTTTTCTGCTGTGCGAATGACAGTCTCAGTGGTTAGCAGCATGAGGCAGGGTCATCCCGAGACTGGCTTGAGTTTTTGGTTTTGTTTTTTTTTTTATCTTTTGATGATGACATGGTCTCCAGGCTGGTGCTGGTTTACCAGAAATTTTAGGGGTGGTACTTGTGTTAAAAGACTTTTAGTTCTGAGGGAAGGGAAAGTGGAAGATAAACTAAGTCTATAATTTCTGAGAAGCTGCTTTTTTTGTTTTAAATGTGGGGACATTAGCAGTGGAATGTAAGTAAGGCAATTTATAGGTGTCTCTTTGATTTTATAGTCTCTAGTGCCTTTTTGCTGAGAAATTTTCTTTTTTTATTTTTACTTACATCTGAGGGACTCTCTGGGGCTCCTTATTTTGTCAGAACTCTGCATATCTTGGGGCTTAAGGCCCCATGGTGACACCCCTTGCTTCATCCCCACTTAGCGTCGCCTAGGGGATGCGACAGCCCTGCCCACTCTTAAGGTCTCCACCTCCCCGTGGCCTTCACTGCTCCTGTGCGTTGCGGCTTTGGGAATGAGGGGCTTTGTGCCTCACCTGGCCGCCTTCAGACTTTGCTCCTGTCCGAGCCCTCGCTGTCTGGCCCCGGCCTTGGGCTGGGCTGTGCTGTCTAATGGCCACTTGACCCCCTCCCCTGCACAGGAAATGTCTGTTCAAGGTTAGGTTCCCCCATCAGCTTGTGCTGCAGCCTCTCTAGGAGCCACTGGAGGTGGAAACTTGTTGTTAATAACTTTGCGCTTGAGGGCCCTTAATGGGTTTTTTGATGCAGTTGGAGCAAGATTTCCTTTATAAGGGGTTTGGATAATATTTCTCTTTGGTTTAGCAATATTTATTTTCTTTTTGAATTTTCATTAGCACCTATTTTTTTAACCTTTTAATGTAGGTAAAAATCCATATTTTTATGCCTCCTTATAATTCTTTTAGTAAAAGTATATTTCACTTTCCTTACATGCTTTGCACATAAACTGTTTCTTTAATAGTTTTACATTTAGGACACCTAATTACTTTTATACAATATTCCTTGCATAAATTCCCTATTATAACATTTTTTACAACTTTCATAGGCCATCTTTGACGTGCCTCAACTTTCTGACTTCTTTTAACACTATTTCTTTCCCCAGTCACACCTTCTGTGTCTTTCTGTAATCTCTGTCTCTTTCAGCCTCTCTTTCACTTATTCTCTCCCTCTGTCTCTCTCTCATTTGCTGCTCTCTCTCTCTCTGTCATCCCGTTTCCTTTTTCTTTTCTACTTAGTCTTTTGGGTTGGGTGGGATTTGTGTGGCCGCAGTCTGGGCCCAGGCCACGCCAGCCCAGAGGCTCAGCAGATGCCCGGCGCAAATTGCACAAGTAATTAACCCTGGGCTAGAGGGCCCCTTTGTCTTTCCTCCTTACCTTCACATCCGTAGCCGTTACACACTTACTTTGACCTTCTCCTTTAAAGTACTGACTTTGCTTTCTTTCTCTTTGCATTCCTGAGTTCCCTTTCTTCTTTCACCTCTTCTAGAAAACTTTAAAACTTTGCCAAAAGATTTTTGCTTTCTGTCTCTGCCTTTCTCTTTCTCTTTCTCTCTCTGCTGGTCTTTCCATGCCTCTGCCAGCCACCTACACTGCTGTTCTCCTCTCTCCTTCCCCTCCCGCTAGGGAGTGGCTGGCGGGAGTGGAGCTTAGCCTCTTTCTTCCCCTGAGAAGACGGGAAAGGGAAGTTCTAAATATTTTTTCCTACTACCAGAGGTTTGTGTGAGGTTCAATCTCCCCCTAATGGGGATTTTTCACCTCTTTTTAACCTCCAAGACACCCCGACTAAAGAATACTTCACTCGCCTCCTGCAGCTTTTCTTTCCTTAGTCCTGACTAAGGAATGCTTTATCGCCCCTGTGGTTTCTCTTTCCTTGGTATGTCTTAACCAAGGAATGCTTCACTGTCCTGCAGCTTTTCTTTCTTTAGTCTTGACCACCAGTGAAATTCTTTACCAGCTTTTCTGGTGTTTCCTTCCTTGGCTCATGCATGAGGTTACCTGGTCCATGTGGTATGTGAAGATCTTTTACTCTAGGTTGCCGGCTGGTTTCTTTCTGCCTTGCTGAGAGTCTAGGTTTATTTGTTGCACCGGGTGTGACTCAATTCCTTACCCCTGAGGCCACTGCAATGAGGCAGTGGGGCGTGTCTTCATGAGAGAGGAAGAGAATGTATCCCCGTACGGGCCACCATTTTGTTATAAGTAAAATGTTTATTTAGAAATAAAATGTTTGTTTTTTGGTACTGCAAGGAAAAATTTGCATTTAGACAAAAAGTTTTCTCAGCAAGGCAATTTTACTTTGTGTAGAAAGGGGGCTCTTTGCAGATGGAATAATGGCCAGAGCACATTTATGTTTTATGTAGCTTGTCTTTTCTACTGTGTCTTGTCTCTATTGGCTGGAGCTAGACTTTATAATTTAAACTAAATTTGATTAGCTTCCAATTTAAAACTTTTTAAAATAGGTAAAAGTAATGGAGAAGAAAGGAAAAGAGGAAGTTGCTTATGAAAAGACTTAGAAAAGTAATAACATTCTTTAATGAGGAAGGGACACAGGATGCGAGCTAGAATGTGCTTGTAAGCATGTTTAGCACAAATATCTTGGTTAAAGTACAAAACATAGAATGTACTTATTCTTTTATATGTAACAGCTACATAAGATAAGGTTTAATAAAGAGTTATCGGCACAAAGCAAAGAGGCTTGAAAGAAGTTAGTTTTTTAAAAGAAACTATTACTTTTAACACTTATGATTTATTTTTTAATAAAAAGAGAAACTTTGAAAACAAAACTTTTTACTTTCTACAAATGTCAAAATAGAAAATGCGGAGGGGGTATCTGGAATCGAAGTGGTGGCCTCTTGGTTTGTAGTCTAACACCCCACCCCTGAGCTATGCCCCCTCCTGCTATTGTGGGGTTCAATTAATGTCTTTGACTTGTACAGTCACACCCAGATGACCTATGCGTTGCCACTTCGCAATGGAAGCTCCTAGGAGCTGCCAGGCCTACCTCAGTGAAAACTCATTGACCTTGTGCATAACAAGAGGCAGTGTCCCCTTCTCAAATACCCTGGATCTTGTGTCTTCGCTGCCTTGAGTCCTTGGTTGCGGGCAGCAGCCTGGAAAAGCACTGCCAGTGGCTGCTAGAATGGCCTTGAGAGTCAACCTCCAGTACCTGTTATGGTGGGCATGTACAAGAGAAACTGTGTGACCGAGGTGTCTATCCTAACACACTTAATGACAGAGTTAGGTCTGGCTCTCCTAGCCCAGTATTCCATTCAGGGCAGATTCAGCACAACTGCAGTCTAGGACAAAAGATGATTCTTTCAACTTTTACTTCTTCAGTTAATACAAATGAAGAATGATAGAGAAGGAGCAACTCCAAGAAATAGTGAGAAGTGTGTAGCTGAGTAGATTTCCCAAAAGCATTAATAGGGCCAGTGTTACCATAGTTTCATGACCAAAAACTGTTGCTACAGAACAACTCCACTTGGCTTGCATTGTTTTTCTTAAGTGACAGGGTATTTTTCTGTCATCCAGGCTGGAGTGCAGTGAAACAATCATAGCTTACTGCAGCCTCTAACTCCCGGGCTGAAGCAATACTCCCACCTCAACCTCCTAAGTAGCTGGGACCACAGGTGGGTGCCCCCATACCCAGCTAATCTTTTTTATTTTTTTGTAGAGATGAAGTCTCACTATGTTGCCTAGGCTGGTCTGAAACTCCTGGCCTCAAGTGACCCTTCTTCCTTGGCCTCCCAAAGTGCTGGAGTGACAGGCATGAGCCACTGCTTCCAGCATCCCATGTGACCTTTTCTGATGACAGACAGAGCCCCATCCCACCTAGAAAGAATACTTGGAGTAACACTTGGGTTATACCTTTTCACCTCCTCAGCTGTGCCAAGGCCCTACTTCTGCTCTTGTCACAGGAGCTGGCAAACTCTTCTTCTGTAAACGGCCTTTCCCTGCTACTGGAATTTTCTCCTTTACCCACAGGACTTTGCCTTGTAGTCCTGGCAGCCTTCTCAGAAGGCAGTCAACAGCCAGCCACTTCTCTCTGCTGCAGGCCCAAGAGCCTGGGGAAACACTGACTTCCACCATGATTTCTATGATAATGTTAAAATCCTCTTGCTTTTCCTTTTTGGCAGTAGGGTGGACTGCCAGGGAAGATGCAAAGAATTGATGAGCCTGCAGGAGCACAGAACGCTCTGCTGGCAGGGCTGGGCAGCAGCCTGAGTCCAGGAAGGCTGGGACTTGTTTGGATTCTGGAGGCCAGGTGTCAGTAGTACAGTGATGAACGGGCATTTCTAGGAAGAAGTCTTAGGCCCCACACATGGTGAGGAATCAGGAAGGAGACTGCCTTGCACAAAGACAGGATACAAGAAGGGCTGAGCTCTTCCAGAAGGAGTGAAGAGAAGACAGGAAAAAGAAAACCAGTCCCGAGAATCCCTAGCCACGGGCTGAGTGACTGGGGTTTAATGGGCCCTGAATTCACAGTCTTTATTGGGTCTGAAAAACTACAGGCAACTTATTTCATGTTGCAGTTGGATGTGTAGTGCTATAGGCTCCTGGCCAAATGAAAATCCTCCCCAGACTGCATCAGGAACTATGCTTCAAAGAATGCCTATCGATAGAGTTTGGACAAGTACAATAAGCCTGGGAGAAACAGTGCAGCGTGGATACCAATGGTGTGGATTCTGAAGTCAGACAGCCTGGCTTCAAGGCCTACCCCACTAGAAGACCTTGGGCAGATTACTGCCCTTCCCTTTCTTCAACTTTGTTACTGTGAAATGTGGGTAATAAGAGTGTCTACTTGATGGATTGTTGTGTAGATTGAATGAGTTAATCTGTGTAAAGCACTGAAGACAGGACTGGCACGTAGTAACTTCTGTATACTGTTTGCTGAACAGTTAAAAAGTTCGCAGGGAAATCAGCTGACATTCATGAGAGCCAATAAACACAAGTAAGAAAATAAAACCTCATACAGCAGGAGAGGGTATCTATTGCACATAACTGATGAAGGGTTTATACCCAAAATATGTAAAGAATTGCACAAGACAATTAAAAATACACAACTCAGTAGAAAAATGACGAAGAGACTCGAGCAGTTACTTCATACAACTGGACATCCAAGCGACCAATAAGCCTATTAAAAGATGCTCAAACCTCATGAGTCTAGAAAGGTGCAAGTTAAACCACAGTGAACTATTGCTAGAATTGTTGCTAGGTTGGTTAAAATGAAAGAGACTGATGTTACTCAGTGATGGTATGTGGAACCATAGTAACTCTCATCCCCTGCTAGTGGTAGTGTCATTTGCTGTATCCACTTTAGAAAACCATCTGACATTATTGGCTAAAAGTAAAAATAGAAACACCCTCTTCCTCAACAGTTATATTCCTTGATACAGACATCAGAGAATGTATATGTACATGCAAGAATGTTCATGGCAGCATTTCTTTTAATAGTCCCAAACTGGAAACAAATGTCCATGAACAGTAGGATAGGTAAATAAGTCATGGTCTAGTCATACAATGGAATCCCAAACAGAGTTTTTAAAAGGACAGAGTACCACTACAGTGGAAAAACACAGATAAATCCTATAGACATAAGATTGAGTGAAAGAAAACAGTTTCAAAGGAGTAACTATGTATGATTCCAGTATATAAAATCAAGAACAGGCAAGACTAGTCCATGGTGATACAATAGTGTTACCTTTTCGGGAGAGAGGGTAATTGGGAAGGGGACCCAGGGGGCCCTCTGAGGTGCTAGAAATTTTCTGTATCTTGATTTGGGAGGTGGGTACATAGGTATGTATGTGTACAAATTAATTGAGCTGTACGTTGAAGATTTCTGTACCTTACTGTGAGTTGTATTTCAATTAAAAGTAAATAAAAAGGAAAACATTGATACTTTTCATTTCTGGAATGTCTTAGTTGATTTATTTTAAAAATATATTTGGTGAATTTTGATAGCCTTTTGCTCCTCAATTCAGTTTCCATTTCTCCTTTAAGAACACTTTTGTCTTGCTTTCAGTTTTCAATTGAAAGCTTTCACCATCCCACCATTAAATAAGATTTCTTTTTATGTTTTAGGTAGACACATCATGAAGATGTGTTGGATTTGATTGGATGTTTTTCTTCATCTATTTTAATGACATGATTTTTTTCCTTTAATCTGTTGTCTTAGCTTGGATTTCCTTAGAAGCAGACCCTGAAGCTAGAATTTAAGAGCAAGTAGTTTATTTGGGAGGTAAGTTCAGGAAACACCAGTAAGGAGTGGGAAGTCAGAGAAAGGAAAGAAGCCAATAAAAGGTGGTGTTAACCTAAATAACAGACGGAAGCTCTCTGAAAGGAAATTATATTTATTTAGGGAATGAGCATTGGCAATGGGAATACAGGTGTCACAGTAAACTATGTGTGTTTTTGAGGAGGTCATGGTAAGGGAAAGTTTTTAAAGGCAAAATGAGAAGGATTATATAAATTGTTTTGGAGAAATAATTCTTGGCTCTAGCAATCAGTAACAAGGGTGGCAACAGTCCAAGGCTAGTCAGGCTTTTGCTGGGCAGATGTCCTTGCAGAAGTATTTTTTGTGAGTGTGTAAGGTTACAATGGCCTTTGTGCAAGGTTGTGGTTTTTACAGTCTTTTGTGATAGTTCTTGTTATCAGGAATTCATATATAAAAGCTCTACCTTTGTGGCCTTCCCTGGCTCCATTTGCCGGGTTTTAACACAAGTGACTCCATTTTCATTCTGACAACTTTCACAGTGGGATATTGGACAAGTTACCATTATAGGCAACTGGAGCTTAATACCGTTGGGGACTTTGTAAGATGTATAACATGCTTGAGGGTTATCCTCTCCAAAAGAACAAGGCAACTTGTGTATTTCTCCATCTACTGCTATCAGTCATCGGTAGAGGGTTGCTTTCGAAGGTTGGGTCCTAATTATTTGGTACTTTCAGCCTGTTACATGTTTGGGCAGCCTGAGAATGCCCTCAGACATAAAGTTACAGGTGCTGACAGTTGAAATTGGGGCCTGCATGCACAGAACTGATAAGTTCTGAAGGAATATCAGTGGGGCAGCAACAGCATTTGCTATATCCTATAGTGTGGTGAATTACAGTAATAGATTTTTCTAATGTTAAGTCAAGCTTACATTCTGAAATGATCTTAATTTGGTTATGTGTTATTTTTTATGTAATGCTGGCTTTGATTTATTAATAGTTTTGCTTATGGTTTTTAAAGTCTATTCTATATTAATATGTGAGATTGGCCTGTTTTCTTACATTGTCTTTGTTATTTTTTATAATAAGTTTAACCTCATAAAATGAGGTGGGAAAGGGACTGCTGCTTTTAGTTTTCTATTCTCCAGAAGTGTCTGTGTAAGACTTACATCGTTTCATTCTGAAGTGATTGGTATAACAAGTGTTTGGTATAACAAGTGTTTAAACTATCTGTGCCTGGAAGTTTTTTGTTACTTTTTTAATGGCAGAATGTTTCATTGAAAATACAAGTTCCTTAATTGTTCCATGATTAGTCATGATTTTTACTTCTTCTTGTGTCAATTTTGATAAAATTAAGCCAGATGTCGAGGACAAATACCACTAGTATAAGCATAAAGTAAGATTTATTTGGGAAAAGTTACAAACAATGCATCAGAATGTCTGCAACTTCCCAAACTCTCTTTATTTCAAGGAAACATGTTCTTGAGCTGGACACAGTTAGACACACGGTAGCAAGTACTCCAGAAGAGACGTTCTTTCTCTGTGCCACATCAGATATTTACAGGGAAGTTTGGAGGGAATACTTAATAGTAGAAGCTTCTTGGCAAAAGAATCAGCCTTGCTGGTAGACAGGAGAATGTGGAGCATTGCCACCAAGTGCTTATGAGGTTGGCATAATGGTACCTGTATCAGCTAAAAAATTGTATTTTTTTCCTTTGAACCAGTTTAGTACTGCTAAACTAAAGTAGATTAATGAGAAGGGAGAGAGAGCCAAGACCATCAAGCAGACAAAGAATTTCTCTCTTCATGTAAGTTTTACTTTTCTAGAAACTTTTCCATGCCATGTAAATATTACATTTCATTGGCATAAAATTGCTCATAATAATATCTTACAATCTTTTTAATTTTGGGGGAACTATAATAATGCATCCTTTTCTCTCCTGATATTGGTTATTAGTGTTACTTTGTCAATCTTGTCTGGGTTATTACTTTTATTGTTTGTTTCAAAAAACAACTTTAGCTTCATTGACCCTCTCTCTTGTGTGTTTTCTACTTAATTAATTTGTGCTTTCATTAATTAATGTATTACTTTCTCCCTTATTTTTTCCTTGGATTCATTTTACTATTATTCATGCCTTTTGGGAGAGATGCTTAGTTTGTTCATTTTAACCTTTTCTTTCTATAATACTAGAGATGCATTAAGACTGTAAATTGCCATGTAAGTACTCTAGAGCTGCAACTGATAAATTTTAATATCTAGTATTTTCATCATTTAGTTCAAAATATTTTATAATTCCTATTACAATTTATTCTTTGACCCATGGGTTATTTATATGTAGAATTTTTAGTTTCTAAACACAAAGATTTTCTAATATTTGTTGGATTTGTTAGTTATTTGATGTTATTAATTTCTAGCTTAATTTTATTTTTGTCAGAAAACATGCTGTTTATGATTTCAATACTTTGGAATTTGTTAAGACTCGCTTTGTGGTTCAGTATACAACTCATGTTTGTCAGTGTTCCACGTGTGCTTGGAAAAAAATGCATATTCTGCATTTAAGTGCAAGATTCTTTACATGTTAAACAGGTCAGTTTTGTTAGTCATGTTGTCCAAATCGTCTGTGTCCTTTTGATACTATGTGTGCTTGTTTACAAATTCACGAGGGTTTTTAAGATCTCTCACTTGAAAGATCCAGCAGAGGTTTATCCATTTCTCTTTTTCAATTTTGTTTATTTTTGCTTATTATATTTTGAGGCTATGTTATTAGGTATACCAAATTTAGAATTACTCTTTTTGGTGAATTGAACTTTCTGTCAATGCAAAATGACTCTCTTTATCCCTGGTAATGATTCAGGCCTCAAAAACTATTTTCTCTATTACTTACTATAGCTACATTATATGTAGTTGTTATAGATACAGATATCTTTTCCTGTTCTTTTATTTTTAACATTTCTGTATCCTCTCTTGTGAACAAGATACAATTTTTTTTAATCCAGTGAATTTTTTTGTGTTTTAAGTAGGGAATTTAATGGATTATATTCCATGTTCATACTGGTAACACTTTTGATTAAATTTCCTATCTTGGTCCGGCAAGTTCTAGTTTCTTTTTATCTCCTTTACGGTCTTCTTGTGGACACTGTAGAAAGAGATCCTCACAGTTTAGAGGTGAGATTCCTACCACAGCCAAGCCTGGAATTAACTAGTAAAAATCTGCAAGAGTCCCCTGAGCGAATGGATTCCTCTGCTGAGGGGATCACCCAAAAGATGGTTAATGTGTGACTGACAGAAGGTAGAACTGGGCTGTACACGAGGAAACCAGTAACCTGGTCTACTCCTGAGAGTGACCTAGACACCTTGGGCCAGGATCTGCATAGAATGAAAACATAAAGAGCTGGAGAGTACAATCATTGGCACTCTCTTTGTGTTAACCTAGGCAGGGACAAGTGTATCTGGGGACATCAGTGTTCTCAGTGCCCATTGAGAGGTGGACTCCAGAGAGGAGCGGCACCCAATTCCAGCTCCAACAAAATGACACTCCTCCTCTTCGCACTGTCCAAGTCCCTCTGCTCGGACTGCAGGCTCATCAGTGACCTGCTGTCTCCCCACACTCTGTCCTTGCGATGCGTTCCCTCTGCTTTACAGAGAGAATCAAAGCTGCCACACCTCAGCTCCTCGGCTTCCCACCCTACCACGGAGACATCTCTCTTCATCTGTTCTCAGTCCCTTCCCTTCTGTCTCAGAGAAAACATTCTCCTCTTTCCTTCCAAAGCAAATCACCCCATCTGTACTCTTGTCTCTATAACTGAATTGATTGTGTTCTTTCTCAATCTCTGCTTCCCCCACCCAAAGCATGCTCAGTCTCTATCCTAAGTTAGGTTAGATTGCCCACTTTCCCTTGTAGCTACTGCTATATTTCTCTCTGGAAAAAAGAAATTTTTATTTCTCGACTCTTCTTTCTCACATTTTCCTCAGCCTTTACATCTGATCAGTCACCAAGTCCTACATATTTTATCTTGAAAGTTTCTCTGGAATCCCTTTTTCTCCTCTGCATTCCTTTCCTTACTCTGTGTCACTGGGCAGGGTAATTAACTCTATAAGCTTCAGTTTCTTCTTCTTAAACACAGATAACATTTCTTATGACAAATATAACTTACGATAAACTGCCTAGTGTGATATTAGCACATAACAGGGGTTCCGAAAATAACACCATTTCCTGTCCTTGTCTTTTGGGAAACTCCAAATCATTCTCTGTAGTGTCTCCAAAATGACCTTCTGAAACAAATGACCTGACCTGGTTGCTTCATTTTAGGGCACAGGACTCCTGTAGCCCACAGAACAAACTCAGAATTCAGCCGGTCACGGTGGTTCACGCCTGTAATCCCAGCACTTTGGAGGCCGAGGTGGGTAGATCACCTGAGGTCAGGAGTTCGAGACCAACCTGGCCAACATGGTGAAACCCCGTCTCTACTAAAAATATAAAAATTTGCCGTGTGTGGTGGCACAAGCCTGTGATCCCAGCTACTCGGGAGGCTGAGGCAGGAGAATCACTTGAACCCGGGAGGCGGAGGTTGCAGTGAGTTGAGAATGCACCAGTGAACTCCAGCCTGGGTGACAGAGTGAGACTCCATCTCAAAAAAAGAACGGTTGGAATTCCAAAACATCTCATACATGCAGAGTCTTGAGTCTAGTCACCCGCTTCCAAGCCTTAGGCTGCAGTCACAGTCTTCCCACCCCCTGCTCTGCACACTCATCACACAAACACTTCCAATCTACTCCATATGCAAGCAGGCACACCTGCAAGCATGAACACATACAGGTGCACACACACCCAGGCACACACACCTGGGTCTTTCTTTTAGACCCAGAAAGCACTGCAACAACGTTGCATCTTTGTTCCTCTGCGTTTTCTGGCTGGCATGCCCTTCCCACACACTCACCTTCAAGACCCCACTGACGCTCACTGTCTGCAGAGCTGTCACTAAGTCCACACCCGGAGGTATCCCGGCTGTAGTCCACACTGCTTTCTATCACAGCTAATATCATTTTTTGTTGCACATCACTTTTTCTCACTAAATCGAGAGCTTCTAAGAGAGAACAGGGATGACTTGTGCTAGATTTCACTCATCTCTGTATCCTCCCACAAAGACTGGCCTCCTGATTACTAAATATTTGAGAAATTTAATTGAGGGGATTGACTGCTGACTCTGTATAGGTCAATAGCTCTCTGGAGTTTTGTTCTCACCCAGAGGGAGAAAGATGAGGGAGAGGAGGCTGCAAGGCTGCTGGCTGAGGGTTCCGTGGCCTTGGTGGAAGGGGAGTAGGCAGCAGGAAGAGAGACACATTTTCAATGGGGTGGGTCAACCCTGCTGATGTAAGATGGCAATGTCATAGCTGTGGTTTCAACACTGAAGAAATACTAGTTATGGCTGGGCGTGGTTTCTCATGCCTGTAATCCCAGCTGTTGGGAAGCTGAGACGGGAGGATTGCTTGAGATGGCTAGGTCTAGACTAGCCTGGGAAACAGCAGGACCCCATCTCTATTAATTAAAAAATAAAAAAATGAGCTGAACATGTGGCACGGGCTTGTAGTCCTACCTACTAGGGAGATTGAGGCAGGAGGATTGCTTGAGCCCAAAAGTTTGAGGGTACAGTAAGCCGTGACCTATACCACTGCACTGTAGTTTGGGTGACAGAGTGAGACCTCTGTCTCTATAAAAAATTAAAAATTAAAAACAATTCGCTGGGCATGGTTGCTCGTGCCTGTAGTCCTAGCTATTCAGGAGGCTGAGGTGGCAGGATTGCTGGAGCCCAGGAGTTGGAGGCTGCAGTGAGCTGTGATCATGGCACTGTACTCCAGTCTGAGCTGGACCTGAGCTGAGTGTGAGACTCTTGAAAGAAGAAAAGGAGATGTAAGGAAAAAGGAAAGGGAAGACAAGGGAGAGGAGGGGAAGGGAGGGAAGGGACTAGTCAGAAAAATACAGTCATTCACCTGTTGAGTGACATGTCAATGGCTTGGATCTAGTGCATGAGACTACAGACTAAAAAATCTCTCTGTTTCAAATCTCCATGCCGACTCCTTACTGTTTTTTTAGTGGTTTTTTTGTTTGTTTGTTTGTTTGTTTTGTTTTTGAGACAGAGTCTCCCTCTGTCAACCAGGCTGGAGGGCAGTGGCACAGTCTTGGCTCACTGCAACCTCCGCCTCCTGGGTTTGAGTGATTCTCATGCCTCAGCCTCCTGAGTAGCTGTTATTACAGGCACCCGCCACCATGCCTGGCTAACTTTTGTATTTTTATTAGAGACGGGGTTTCGCCATGTTGGCCAGGCTGCTCTCAGACTCCTGGCCTCAGGTGATCCGCCTGCCTCGGCCTTCCAAAGTGCTGGGATTATAGGCATGAGCCACCAGACACAGCCAGGCATTGTTCTGTGTGCTCTAAACCCTCACCAAGAAAACCTCTGAGGTGGTACGATTATTGTCTTCCATTTGACAGATGCAGAAACTGAGGCCCAGCAGAGATTGAGTAACTTATGCGAGTTGTCACTCACCTCACACGCCCCAGCAAGCATCCAGGAGAGCCTGCCTCTTGGAATAGAAATCAGACATCCCACAGGAACTCTGAGGTTTTCCCACTGCTGCCAGATGTATGCAAGGAACACGTGATCTTCGTAATTCCAGAGCGGGGCAAACTGCTTGGCACCTCTTCAATAGGTGACATTCAATGAGTAAGTGACTGTGACTACTGTGACTCTCCTGACAGCCTCAGCCTCCTCAAGTATTCCCCTCCAGGTTGTACTTGTCCTTGTTAGCACAGCCTCATGAGACTGAAGTCCCTACCCCTCAAACCTTAGCTTGCCAATTCTAAGAATTCAGAAATGCAGCTCTGCACTCTGTGGCTGGCTCTGGACCAAAACAAGCACCATTTCTCCTTGACCAGGAGTATGGGATGGAAGGTAGAGAGAGGGTCTGGAGGGGAGGAGCATGGAGGGAGTGGCTAGGGAGGTTGGAAGTGCTATCTACTGAGCAATTCCTGAGACCTGCTTTGAGTGCACTGTACTAATGAGGTGGGGGATTCCAAGACGAGGCAGCCTTCAGGGCATCTGGATGATTATAATGGATTGAGGTAAACCCTATACAGATAGAAGGAACATCAGTGTGGCCCATGCCAATCTAAGCTGTATGTGGATAAAGTTCGCTACCAAAATTAAACTTAACAGAAGGGAGAACCTGGATTTGAACCAGGGACCTCTTGCTCTACAGTCAAAAAGCTCTAGCCCTGAGCTATACCCCCATGGCACACTGAGGTTACCTAGTTAATACCTTTCATCAGTGTGGGAGCACTCAGCTTTGTAAAATTAAATAATGGCTTCCCTCTAGGACTGACTTTCTGGAAGCTGCCAGACCTGATTCACAGCTAGACACCTTCCCTCAGCTCTGCAGCTCACCAGTCCTGTCTCTGGTGGAGCCGTGAACAGGAGAAAAGGATGGAGGCTGCCTGTGGAACCCCCAGCCATTTCCCATTGTTTTTTGGGGTTAACCCAAGAGCCGGCCACTGGTCTCCAAAACAGTCCACAGATTCCAATCTGACCTCCCAGCCCAAATTCCTTTTTCCTGCAGTAAAGACAGAGTGGACAAATATGATGACTGATGATAAACTGCCTAGCATGATATTAGCACATAGTAGGGCATAGTAGGTGTTCAAAAAATAACACCAGTTCCTGTTCTTGTCTTTCGGCAAACTCCAAACCAGTATCTGTAATGTCTCCTAAATGACCTCCTTAGACAAAGGACCTGACCTGGTTCTTCATTGCAGCACACAGGACTCCCTGTGGCCCACAGAACAAAGTTGGAATTCCCAATCATCTCATACGAACAGACTCTTGAGTCTAATCCCCCACCTCCAAGCCTTGGGCCACAGTCACAGAGTGGGCTGTAATTCACGTGCAGCCGCAGAGCTACAGGAGTTTGGTCGTAGGGGCAGCACTGCAGAGCCTCTGTCTCCCTTGTTAGAGTAGCTGAGCCAGGCTTTTGGCCTACAAGGTTGAAGCAAGGGTGTGAGTGAGCCCTGCGTGGGAGCAATTCTCCAGGGGAAACATCTGCCCTCCATGGGAATGCTGTGTGCTGTGATGTGTCTCCCCAGGTCTGGCCACCACTCCAGTGCACCAAACTGCTGCTGTGGGAAGGAGCCAGGAGAGTGATAGCTTGGGGTACCATTCCCCATCTGTTTCTGGGGGAGCCTGCTGCAGTACTACTCTCTGGTCTGCCCTGGAAAAACCCAGAAGCATACTGCATCACAGCTTGAGAAATTACATCTATAGGGGGAGCAGGGAGCTAGATACCATGAATACCAATAATATGAGGGATACCCGTGGAACTGGTGCTGGAAGAGATGAAAAGAAGTTATGCATGGAGGCAGGTTGCAGCTGGGTAGGCCTGAGCTGTAGCTTCCAGTTCCAGGGAAAATCATAGGCGGAATGGATGAAAAGAAACTGGAATATGACCAACAGCTTCTGTGAAGAACATAACAGCTTGTATGAATAGAAAAAGTGCAGTGGGCACCCAGATTTGAACTGGGGACCTCTTGATCTGCAGTCAAATGCTCTACCCCTGAGCTATACGCCCTGCTTGTCATAAGTGTCTAATAAGCACCTTTCATGTTGGTAATCGCACCCAGCAGTCCTATAGCACATTGAAAGTTCCTGCTTACTTTTAGAGAGTAAGACCAGCAACTGATTTTACCATAAACTCACCCCAGAAAAGTCCATCCCCAATTCCCAAACCCTGGACCCTGCTCACATGCCGGCACATCTCCTTGCCCTCCCTCAGTTTGTGGTGACAGGAGCAGCTGGGAGGAGTGTTTCCGTTTACTGCTGGAACAGCCTTTAGGTCTACATGTCTGATTTCTTCTTGTTACACTACAAAATAGCAGTTTGGAGACACAAATTGAGACATGCAATACCGACATCTGAAGATCTCTCAATCTGGAATCTGTCCATTAAATCCAGTTCATGAAACAGGGAAGTTCCCAGGCCCTGACATGGATCAGAGAGTAGTCCTGGGAAGCATCATGGAGACAACATAGCATGAGGACCACACAGCTCCTCCAGGTTTTGGCCAGAAAACTCCGCTGCTAGTGTGGAAAGCTCTACCCTGAACTACACCCCCATTCTCAGTGCATGGCTATTTTAAACCTTATACATATTTTTGTTTTCATCTAAGTATCTTGTGCAACTATTTTTGAAAGTCAAATATTGCTTTTAAAGCTTATAATAAAAGAAACCTCAGTCTTTTGTATTTTCCTCTTGCCACCCAGAGGCAGCCACTCTCCACCCTTTTGGCTGTTTCTTCTAGTCTATTTGCCTCTATAATTTTAAGTAATATAAATATGTCATAATATGGTATGTCTAATTTAATCAAATTTAGACATCATTAGCTGACTTATTTTTTTTCCCCCTTTTTTTATTTTATTTTATTTTATTTTTATTTGTATTGATCATTCTTGGGTGTTTCTCGCAGAGGGGGATTCGGCAGGGTCATAGGACAATAGTGGAGGGAAGGTCAGCAGATAAACAAGTGAACAAAGGTCTCTGGTTTTCCTAGGCAGAGGACCCTGCGGCCTTCCGCAGTGTTTGTGTCCCTGGGTACTTGAGATTAGGGAGTGGTGATGATTCTTAAGGAGCATGCTGCCTTCAAGCATCTGTTTAACAAAGCACATCTTGCACCGCCCTTAATCCATTTAACCCTGAGTGGACACAGCACATGTTTCAGAGAGCACAGGGTTGGGGGTAAAAGGTCACCGATCAACAGGATCCCAAGGCAGAAGAATTTTTCTTAGTACAGAACAAAATGAAAAGTCTCCCATGTCTACTTCTTTCTACACAGACACAGCAACCATCCGATTTCTCAATCTTTTCCCCACCTTTCCCCCCTTTCTATTCCACAAAACCGCCATTGTCATCCCGGCCCGTTCTCAATGAGCTGTTGGGTACACCTCCCAGACGGGGTGGTGGCCGGGCAGAGGGGCTCCTCACATCCCTGTAGGGGCGGCCAGGCAGAGGCGCCCCTCACCTCCCAGACGGGCGGCTGGCGGGCAGGGGGCTGACCCCCCCACCTCCCTCCCGGACGGGGCGGCTGGCCGGGCAGAGGGGCTCCTCACTTCCCAGCAGGGGCAGCCAGGCAGAGGCGCCCCTCACCTCCCGGACGGGGCGGCTGGCCGGGAGGGGGGCCAACCCCCCCACCTCCCTCCCGGACGGGGCGGCTGGCCAGGCAGAGGGGCCCCTCATTTCCCAGTAGGGGCGGCCAGGCAGAGGCGCCCCTCACCTCCCGGACGGGCCGGCCGGCCGGGCGGGGGGCTGACCCCCCCACCTCCCTCCTGGACGGGGCGGCTGGCCGGGCTCGGGGCTGACCCCCCCCACCTCCCTCCCGGACGGGGCGGCTGGCCAGGCAGAGGGGCTCCTCACTTCCCAGTAGGGGCAGCTGGGCAGAGGCGCCCCTCACCTCCCGGACGGGGCGGCTGGCCGGGCGGGGCGCTGACCCCCCCCACCTCCCTCCCGGACGGGGTGGCTGGCCGGGCAGGGGGCTGTCCCCCCACCTCCCTCCCGGACGGCGCGGCTGGCCGGGCGGGGGGCTGACCCCCCCACCTCCCTCCTGGACGGGGCGGCTGGCCAGGCAGAGGGGCTCCTCACTTCCCAGTAGGGGCAGCTGGGCAGAGGCGCCCCTCACCTCCTGGACGGGGCGGCTGGCCGGGCGGGGGGCTGACCCCCCCACCTCCCTCCAGGACGGGGCGGCTGGCCGGGTGGGGGGCTGACTCCCCCACCTCCCTCCAGGACGGGGCGGCTGGCCGGGTGGGGGGCTGATCCCCCCACCTCCCTCCCGGATGGGGCGGCTGGCCGGGCGGTGGGGGCTGACCCCCCCACCTCCCTCCCGGATGGGGTGGCTGGCCTGGCGGGGGCTGACCCCCACCTCCCTCCCTGATGGGGTGGCTGCCGGGCGGAGACGCTCCTCACTTCCCAGACGGGGTGGCTGCCGGGCGGAGGAGCTCCTCACTTCTCAGACGGGGCGGTTGCCAGGCGGAGGACCTCCTCACTTCTCAGACGGGGCGGCGGGGCAGAGACGCTCCTCACCTCCCAGATGGGGCGGCGGGGCAGAGGTGCTCCCCACATCTCAGACAATGGGCGGCCGGGCAGAGACGCTCCTCAGTTCCTAGATGGGATGGCGGCCAGGAAGAGGCGCTCCTTACTTCCTAGATGAGATGGCGGCCGGGCAGAGACGCTCCTCACTTTCCAGACTGGGCAGACAGGCAGAGGGGCTCCTCACGTCCCAGACGATGGGTGGCCGGGCAGAGACGCTCCTCACTTCCCAGACGGGGTGGCGGCCGGGCAGAGGCTGCAATCTCGGCACTTTGGGAGGCCAAGGCAGGCGGCTGGGAGGTGGAGGTTGTAGCGAGCCGCGATCATGCCACTGCACTCCAGCCTGGGCACCATTGAGCACTGAGTGAACCAGACTCCGTCTGCAATCCCGGCACCTCGGGAGGCCAAGGCTGGCGGATCACTCGCGGTTAGGAGCTGGAGACCAGCCGGGCCAACACAGCGAAACCCCGTCTCCACCAAAAAAGTACGAAAACCAGTCAGGCGTGGCGGCGCGCGCCTGTAATCGCAGGCACTCGGCAGGCTGAGGCAGGAGAATCAGGCAGGGAGGTTGCAGTGAGCCAAGGTGGCAGCAGTACAGTCCAGCTTCGGCTCGGCATCAGAGGGAGACCGTGGAAAGGGAGGGAGACCGTGGAAAGGGAGGGAGACCGTGGAAAGAGAGGGAGAGGGAGACCGTGGGGAGAGGGAGACCGAGAGGGAGAGGGAGACCGAGAGGGAGAGGGAGAGGGAGAGGGAGACCAGAGGGAGAGGGAGAGGGAGAGGGAGACCGAGAGGGAGAGGGAGAGGGAGAGCTGACTTATTTTTGTAGGTGAGGATTATCACCCATGTGCCTTCTTTTCTGTTTTCCAATATACCTACTATATATCAACTTCTCAGATAAAATGCTATATATTTACTTTCTGTTCAATTTTATCTTCCATGTTTTAATTATTATGATTAGTTAATAGTGTTTATGCCCAATGTACATAATCCTAAGCTGAACTAAGAGTTCTGATGGAACTTTTTTTCCCCTCAAGTTACTGATAGCCTCACATTTTCAACGGCTTGGTTTTCTTGGAATATCTACGGTTTTCCACAACCTTTCATTGCTCCATGAAATGCCTGTCAAGTCAGTTTACCACACTGTAAAAGCTGTTACATAATTAACATTTTCACTTCTTGTTTTCCAGTAGATCTCTGGCTTCCTGCTCTGTTTGTTCTGGTTGCCCTGGAAAGCCTGCTGCTCAGCCCATGCCCCGGGACTTCCTCCACCCTCACCAGGACATTCTTTCCATCTCTTGTCTCCTGTGTGCAAGTCCCTTTCTCCTGGATTCCATGTCTTGAATGTTTCTTAATTTACTTCCTCATTTTGGCAGAGGATGTCCTCCAGTTGTTTTCTGGGAATGGTGAGTAGAGGTGAATTTTTTAAGACCTGGCATGCCTCGAAATGTCCATAATTCCACCTACACACTTGATTAGCAGTCTGGACAGACATAGATTTCTAGTTTCAACTTATAATCCTTCATATTGTGAAGGATTGTTTCTGTTATCTTCTGGTGTCTAGTATTGCTATAGAAAAGTCAAGTGCCATTGTGATCCTCTATCTTTTGTATATCACCTGTTTCTTTCACTCTTTAAGTTTTGAAGATCTTCCCTTTTGTCCTGGTATTCTGTAATCACACTATGATGTACTCGATGAAGATAATTTTTTATTCATTTTGTTGGGCATTTGAAGTATCTTTTCTAATGCATAGCCAAGTCCTTTCATTACGAGTAATGTTCTTGTATAATGTCCTTTCCATCATGTTCTCTTTCTGGGACTTTTATTAGTTTTTGTTTGTTTCGAGACAGTGTCTTGCTCACGATAAACTTGAACCTCTGACCTCAAGCAATCCTCCCACCTTAGCCTCCTGAATGGCTAGGCTTACTGACACACCCCACGATGACCAGCTGATTTTTTTTTTCTTTGTAGCAACAGGGATCTCACCATGTTGTCCAGGCTGGTCTTCAACTCTTGGCCTCAAGTGATCCTCCTACCTGGAACTCCCAAAGTGCTGGGATTATAGGTGTGAGCCACAGTGCCAAGCCTGTTAGTTGGTTTTTACACATCTTGGTTTTAACCTCTAACTTTCTTATTTTTATCTCTCTTACTATCTTTTCCTTTGTCTTTTTGTTTTATTTTACTTTCTGGGAAGCTGCCTCAGCTTTATTTTTCAAACTTTCTATTTAATTTTTTATATCTTCTATCCTTTTTTCTTAATTTCTAAGTTATCTGTTCTATAATTGACCCTTTTATGTGTCTTGTTTAACAGATGGAATATTTTCTCATATTTCTCTCAGAATATTAATTAGTTTCTTTGACGTTTTCCTCTCTTTCCAGCTAATATGCAAGTGAACCAGTGACCTGCAGTTCTGCCCACACAGGGTTAATAACCAATCAGATTCTCTCTTTTCAAGATGGTTAACATAACAGACACCAAGAAAGGGAAGAGGAGCCGACAGCAGAGGGGGAAGCTGAAAAGACGCACAAAGAATGGCCATAAAAGATATGAGTATGTTGAGTGATTAGTGATCGGAAACTACGAGTGATATGGTACAGGTGTTTGTAGAAGAACAGTAAAGCCATTGATCAGGTCAGCTATCAATGAACTCCTGCTAGAGAAGGGGTGGTCTAGGCCTGAGTCCTAAAACTTCGTTAGTGATGTCAAAAGTCACAGTCCTTTTGAGGCTTCAGAGACCTCAGTTGTCTGATTATTTCTGTATCTCCATGCAAAGCCCATGACTCCTGTTTTATTCTCACCCCTACCTGTGATAAGCCTGAGACACTCCATGCCTTGTAATCCAGTGGCAATATCATCAGGGTGGGGGCTGGCTGGCTGCTCAGGTGGGCCCCCCAAGCAGAGTCTCAGCATAAGTACCATGTTTAGGTCTCACCTTTCTGCAATGTTTGAATTTCACCCAAAGCCACAATTTCAAAAAATGAACATTATTTCACAACTCTAGATCTTCCCAATTACAGGACTATTCACACTCCCTAATCAGGACCCCTTCCCACATCAGCACAGGCAGGGGGCTCTGCAGCAAGGCTGATGTTAGGGTGGAGGTGGCCTGCAGCCCCTGGAGTGTTTGCTGCACTGGGCCAGAGCGTCCTGTCCTCTGCCTGCCCAACAGCAGAGCCCCCTCCCCAGGGATTATTCAGGTCCTGCTGGGAGGAACAAACACCAAGTCACAGTACCTTTCCCCTTCATATATGTTTCTAGGCAACCCCAGCTTTCCAGACAGTCACTTTTCCCAGTGGTCATACCTGGTCTGGAAGATTCCCCATCATCTCGAATAAAGGTAAGCACTTCCTAAGTCCCCTTCAGCAACACATGCACAAACCGCCTCTTAGAGCACGTACCTTCTGCAGAGAGACACGCCCAGAGGGTGAGCTGATTTTTAAATTACAGTAGCTCCCTAGCTACCAGAAAAGCCCAAGTGAGATCTGAGGAAGTGGTTCTAGCTTCTCTATCCACCTGCCCTCCAAGGAGCTGAAGACTTCAGGCTGAGGAGGGCTGGCTGAAATGGCCAGAAGAGGGGACTGAAAGGGAAGCAAGGTGTCCTCTTAGTAGGGGAGCAGGCCTGCTAGTAAACCAGAGCCACTCTGGGTGTGAAGAAAGAGCCGCAGGCAACAAGAGCGTGGGACTCAGCTTCCAGAGTCAGAGATACTGCTCAGCCAGCCCAGGTGCCAGTGCCAGGGTGCAGTAGCTGAGTGCAGACTAGGAGGCCTTGCTTCCAGTTCAAGCGCCCTTCATCTGGGCTTGCATTAGTCAGCAAAGGTGGTTCTGCACTTCCCATTACTTTGACCCAGGAAGCCTGGTCCTGAATCTGTAAAGTCTATAAGTAAAACTACAGTTGACTTTGAACAACACAGGTTTGAACTGTGGGTCCACTTAACAGACAGATTGTCTTCTATCTTTGCTGCCCCCAAGACAGTAAGACCAACCCCTCTTTTCTTCTTCAGCCTACTCTGTGAAGATGACAAAGATTAGGACTTCTATGATGATTCACTTCACTTCTACTTATTCCATAGGAAATAAATTTTCCCTTATGATTTTCTTAATATTTTCTTTTCTCTAGCTTTATTTTAAGAATACAGTATATAACACATAGAACATATAAAATATGTGTTCATTGACTGTTTATGTTATCAGAAAGGCTTCCAGTCAACAGTAGGCTATTAGTAGTTACATTTCAGGGGAGTCAAAAGTTATATCCGCATTTCTGACTGCAAGTTGGTGGGTAGAAGTCATAGGGGAAAAAGAAGTCTGGAGAGCTGAAAAAGGACGGAGGGTAGCTCTGAGCTGCATTGCATGGAACCAAATTCTGTGTGGTGACTATAAAGCCCTTCCATCTTTAGCATCCTGTTCCCCTGCTACTCCCTGCACCACCTTCCCTGCTCCACTCCCCACGCTCCCCGTCCTCAGGCACTCCAGGACCCGCACTTGATGCTGGCCTCTGCTGAGGCTCCTTCTGCCTGCACGGCTCCTGCCTGTAGCACTGCAAGAGCAAGGCCAGGCTTCCTACATGAGGCTCCAACTTCTACACTCTTCAAAACTTGAAAAGAAATTGACTTGCACCTTAGAAAGTGGCAGTGTTTGTCTCTTAGGCTAATATTTTATGGGAGTAAGCAGATTGCAGCTACAATTATGTTATTATGGACTGTTATACTCTTGTTCAGGGAGAAAAAATCTGCTAGGGATTAAGCAGAATTGGGTTCACATCTTTGCTTTTTTTTTCTTTGTTTAAAAAGTAATTATTATTTTTTGTTTGTTTCGGATCTTTGCTTTTAGCTGTTGTTGCTTTTAACTCCATGGAGAGACCGAATGGAGTGAGCCCAGCAGGGCATGCTGGGCAAGAGAGGTCCCCCGAGTCCCAAATAAGAATTTCAACTAGTATAAAACGAGGCAGCGAACCCACACGTGGAAGTCTGATACCGCTTGCAGAAGGGAATTGAATAGATGTCTCCCTATTGGTAAGGATGTGGTTTTATTGACTTGAAATAACAAAGCCCGCAAGCAACAACTGATCATCCGCGGGATGCTGCCACAAGGAATAATTGAGCACTCATTCAGACACAGGGGAAACCACTGCCTCTTTCAGTCTTTCTCCCAGATTCCAACAGTCAGTGTTACAGCATTTCACCTTGTTCACCTCCCTGAGAAGACGTTGCAGCTCACTCACCCCAGTGGGCACTGGGAGCCTCTGCTCAGGTGGGAGACAGATGCCCCCCACATGCACATCTGGTGTTTATGAAGCAGATACTGGGGCTTCATAAACACAGAAGGGGCAGGGAAGTAGCCCCAGGGCATAGTGTGGGGCCTCCTGACTAAAAGTAGCTTGCAAACCCCTGCCTATAACAGCCACTTCCTGGCAGTCATTGTGCCACTTAGGAGCCCTCCTCACCGCTCTTCCTTTAGTTCCTTCACTCTGTATAGACCCTGCCAGAGCAGCTCAGGGTGGAGCAGCTGCAGCCATGGGACCTGCTCCAGGCAAGGCCCTATGCTACACAGTCCCTGGGGGTGAGGATTCCAGAGGAGTCAATTCCCTACCCGCCCTTCCAGGGGATGGCCGAGATGAGCGTTCCCACAGGGAAAGTGAAAGTTGCAAGGCTGTTGCGGAAACACCAGGGGTTCCATCTAGGTCTTGCTGCTCATCTCACAGAAAGCCAGTCACTGAGACAAGTATTGTCAGGGAAGAAGGCTTTATCCAGGTGCTACAGACAGGGTGAACAAGAGATCAGTCTCAAATCCATCATCATCAACTGACTAAAATTAGGGGTTTATATAGCAGGGAAGAAATGTAACTACATGTGGGAAAACAGGGATTAACGAGGGGCAAGGAAGAGGAGTTGGCCAACAGGCAGCAGGTGGTCACCTGGGGAATCATGATGGGTGAGGGGTCTGGCTTCTCACTTTCCAGATGTGGGGATCTGGTAAATTTCAGTTTCTTGATACCGTCTGGGAGGATTGCTGGCTGGTTTCCTGAGAAAGGAATTCAGATGACATAAATGTAAATTTCTCCTTGGGTTTCAAGACTGAGAGGGTCAATTTCTAGGTTTATTCAAGAAAAACCATAAACATCAGTTCTATGGGACAATTGGGCCCATTTCAAGGCTCTGAGGATAAGGGTTAATGAGGGGACAGAGTCGCCTGGAGAAGTTCACTGGGGCCTACAAGAAACTAGAGAGGCTTCCTGGCAAAGCTCTATGCTGTCTATCCTCTCTTCTCTCCTTGCAGGAAGATTCCAGTATAATAGACCCGAGGTGAAAAGGCTTTTGTTCAATAAGTAGAAAACTGAAGGGGGGTGGGAGGCACATGGATTTGAACCAGAGACCGCTTGGCCTGCAGGCAAATGCTGTACCTTCAGTTGCACCCCTCACTTGTTACAGCTGTTTCTGATAAGCACTTGTGCAGCCCCATCAGCACCTCGATTTCTTCTTGGTGAGTCCATGGGAACAGCCCCACTGCAAACAACCCATTCCTGCTCTCCTCTTTCCTCTAAACCTCAACCTCCTCCTACCTGGCAGTCCACAGGCCTACAGCTTCTCCTCAGTGGGAAAGACATCAGCTTGGAAAACCACTTGGAAAGCCAACGTTATCCTAGAAAAGCTTTTTAAATGACCCAGCAGGACAAGTCTCCGGATGGCCTTGGCCAACCCGGTGCTTCCCTCTTTTCTTGGTTGTAGTTCTCAGAATAACTAGAGAATGTACTGGGAGTGTTGTCCTGAGATAAGGAGGAACTGTCCTAAACCTGGACTCTGTTCCCATCACACCTAGAACAGGATGTCCTGCAACGCTTTAGCCCAATGATCCAAGTTGCCCTTGGGGTATAAAACTTGACAGCAGAGGGCGTTCAGGGTCCCTCAGCTGCAGTGTGAAGTGGGACACACAGGTGAGACTCCATCTGCCCTGGGCAGGTTCCTGAGCCTTGGGGGACCAGTTCACCCTACATCCCAGGCTTCTGTTGTCCCTTGCCTGCCTGTAAGGAATAAAGTTGCTTTGCTTAACTTGCTGTGTGAGTGTTCTGCATCACTGGACTCGAGCAAGTGGTACAAACTGCAGATTAATAACTGGTACGTGGTGAATCTGCTTCCTAAGTGTTTGCTGAATTTTGCGGCCCAGGAGATCATCTGGTGTTTCTGTGATGTGGGAAGATTAAAAGAAAGAAAAATCAAACCTCACACCTAACAAATCAGAATCTCAAGGTGGGACCCAAGGCATCTGTATACTTGACCACCCTCCCAGGTCATTCTGGTTCTCAGACATGTTTGGCAACTTTGATTTTAGTCTATACTTGCATGTTATATGCCTGAAAGAAAAAACAAAGACTAAAGGCCTGCATGAGTTCACACATCACCTTAATAACAAGATCATAGCTAGAACCACATTCCTAGTTTTGGGACTTTCCATTGCCGCAGCCCAAAGGATGACTAGATTCCTTTCCATCTCTTCTCCCTCCACTTCCTTCCCAGGAACCTCCCCTCAACCTGCCATAGGACCTGGGGCAACCTAAAGGTACCAATTGGTATGTGGTACTAAAAAGAGACTCTTTCCAGGGGGCACCTGGATTTGAACCAAGGACTTCTTGATCTGCAGTCAAGTGCTCTACCCCTGAGCTATACCCCCTCAGCTTCTAGGAGTTTCTACTAAATACCTTTTCACCTATGTTGCAACACTCACATCTATGCACTGAAATTTACGTTGACTCTTAGAAAGTTTTAGAGATTTGGACATTTTGCCTCACAGCAAATTAGCCCTTTTGGCCCTCTTCTTCCTTATTAATCCCTCCCTACTTGGTCCCCTAGAAGCCTCCTCAGCTCACTTCCATCTCGTCTTAGGACCACTTCCAAGACACCTGCTTGAAGAATCATTGCCAAGAGCAGGGCCACTCCTTTCTTCCTTCATCTCCTCCTTAAAGTCCACTAACTTGAATGTGTCCCCACGTCCCTTCTTTCCACCCTCACCCCTACCCCAGTGGATAGAATTGGGGGCTTTTCTGCTCATCTCCTCTCTTTTTATTCTCATGTCAACTATTCTTGGTTTTTTGCATGGTCTTGACTGAACCCAGGAAAGCCCATACCAATAATTCGAATTATTTGAATCCCATCATGGAGCTCAGGAAGCTTCCCCAGCTGTCCCAAGGGGCCTCAGGCTAGAAGCACAACTGAAGCAGCAAGGACCAGAAATGTCTCCTCTGCTGGGCAGACCCCTGCCCTGAGGCACAGCACCACAGGTCCTGCAAAGTGAACCTGGCCCTTGGCCAACATCCTACATTAAGGCCACTTCTGACATTAAAAGGCCATACAGATCTCAAAAATGTAGAGAAAGGACACCCACCCAAAGGGTCACATGAGATGGTGGCAGTGCCTGTGATAACTGTCACGGAGACCAAAGCTCAGAATGCACAGAGGCTCACAAAGGAAAATGCAATCTCTTTGTGTCTTTCTACAGTGCCAAACACAATATTGAGCATAAAAGTTGGGATGCAATAAATATTTATTGGGGGAAGTAAAGACAGCAAAATTGGCAAGGTTAATAACTAAGAATAGAGTTAATATAAATTACTTGAGGTAGCACCAGTCAAATGAACTCTGTTGCTATTTGGTGTTCAGTTCTCCAAACCTGAGCATGCATACTCTTCTGAGCTCAGATTCCATCTTTCTTGCTGGAGGAGATGAGCCAATTCACAGACACGTGGAGCTCTGTCACTGGCTACTCTCTCGGTCTTCTGGCTCCCCCAACAATGGTCCTCTCTTATTGGAAAGGGAAAAGGCAAGGAAGGAATTAAAAGAAATCCTCATGTTAAAATTCTTCTTGTTAAACAATAAGACTCTAAAAAGTCCAAAAGTCTACAACCAGCAACCGTCATACTTAATGGTGCAACGTTAGAAGCATTCTCTTAAAAACTGGAAATGACAAAGATGCGTGGTAGCTTTGTTTCTATTTAAAACCACCAAAAGCTAGAGGTAGTGCATTTAAGACCAAAAAAGTAGGGTTTTTCAGTGGAATAGAAGAAACAAAACACCCATTATTTCAGTGACACTGTGGTTATATAGAAAACACAAAGTAATCTACAAATTATCTGAATTATTAATTTTAATAAATTCAAATAAGTTATACAATAAACTTATTTTAAATCAAATATATTTCCACACACCTGTAACAGAAATGAAATTTCTTAACAGAGTAACAAAAATACAGGCTCCCTAGGAATAAATACAAGTTGTACAAGACCTTTGTTTAGACTATTTTAAAGCTTCATTGAAATATTTAAAGGGTACTTAAATAAGTAGAGAAGTATGCTTTGTTTTTGGATAGGACAAGACAATTTTGTAAAGATACTGCTCTCCAAATTTACAGATTTAATGCAATTGCAATCAAAATCCTAATAGTGATTTTTATAGTAATTGACACACTAATGTTAAAAATTATGTGGGAAAATAAAGAGTTGGGAATAGGTAGAGTTTATCTGAAGAAAAATAATTAGGCAAGGAAACCAGCGCTACCAGATATGAAGACTTATAATGTTATAAGACCGTGTAGTATTGACATAAGGGTACACAAACAAAACTAATGAAGAGAATGGGGATTCTAAAAATTGACTATCCATAGATAGAAACCTGATATATGAGAGAGGCAGCATTGTAGACCAGTGAAGAAAGGGTGTACTCTCTGATAAAAGAGTGCTAGGACAATTAGATATTCATTCACAAAATAAATTCCAAGAGGATTCAAGACCTAAATATAAAAAAATCTTTTTAACAAATTTAGAAAATATGAGAAAATTCTTATGATATTGGAGTAGAAGAAGGATTTTCAAATTAAGACAATATAAAAAAAGATTTATTAATCCATGTATTAATCCATTCTGGTTCATTGCAGTTAAGAAACGTCTCTGTTCTGAAAGCCCTCAGATAGTGAAAAGGTGAGTCACATAGCAGGAAGAGAGGTTTGTGAATCATTGTATCAGCCAAGGTAGAGTAAGAAATCAGAAACTACACTCGGCATTTCAACAGAAAGAATTGATTATAAAGTATTGGTTAAATAGGCATTCATGAAATGGAAAGGCAAAGAGAACCCCAAGGTGATGCAGAGATAATAACGTCTGGAAGCAGCTTTCTCCTGCTAGTTTTGAGAGAAAAAGTGAAGAGGCTGCAGTTATCAGAATAGAGAATTGTGGAGCAGGGGCTCTGAGGAATTGGACCTCACACTTGTGAGGATGGGGTGCTGCCCAGCTGGTGCCAGTAACTCAGGAGCTCAGAAGGTGGGTCTTCCAAGGTAGAGCGCTGCCAATGAGGGTGGTTCCAGGAGTGCCATAAGAAAGCTGGCACAAGACCCAGTGCTTCCAGCATTAAGGGTCATTGCTGGGGCTGCGCTGATGGGAACAACAAATGGAACAAAAGCATGTCCCATTCTTCTCTTTCTGCCGTCCCATCCTCATCTATTGCTTCAATCAGCAGAATCTGCAGGAAGCCAGCAGGTAGATGAGAAATGTAGTTTGCAGAGTGCCACAGCCTCAGTAAGCAGGGTCAAGAAGGGTGGGCTCAGAGCTAAGAGACAGTATAGTTTAATTTCTGGCACAACCAGGTAGTCAACAAAGGACTTCTATCCAGAATACAGACTATCTTGATAAGAAAATAGCCAAAAGGAGAGGAGAAAAATAAGCAAAGAACTTGACAAGCATTTCTTAGAAGTAACAGGAAAGACTACTAGACATATACAAAATGCTTAACCTCAGTGGTAATCAGGTAAATGCAATTTAAAATGGAATACCATGTTACAGCCGTCACCAAATTAGTAAGAAATTAAATTTCCTGGCACTCCATGGTGTCAGAGTACATTTTCTACTCCAATGATGTAAACCAATGAGAGCTCTTCTACACTGCTGGTAAGAGCATATCATACACCTGTATAACTTCTTTGAAAAACAGTTTAGTATTATTTAGTAAAGCTACTCATGCATATACTCTCATTTCTCTCTCGGGCATATGCCCTATAGAAACTCTGCTACATGTGCACCAGGAGACACATTCATAGATGTTCATACTCTGTATGATCCAAAGCTTTTAAAATTGATTCAGACTTGTTTTATGGCCCAACATATGGTCTATGTTGGTAAATATTCGATATGCACTTGAAAAAAATGTGTATTGTGTAGTTGTTGGATGTTGTGTTACATAAGTGCAATTTAAATAAGTTGGTTAATAGTGTGGTTTAAATCTATATTCTTACTGACTTTTTTGCTTGTTTGTGTTACTTGTTACTAAGGAAAGTACTAAAATCTCCAGTTATAATTGTGAATTTGTCAATTTTCTTTATGCTTCCCTTTGTTTTTGCTTTATGTGTTTTGGAACTCTGTAATTAGGCATGTACACACTTAAGATTCTTACATCTTCTTAATAAATTAACCCTTTTATCATTATGAAATGTCCATCTTTATCACTGGAAATATTTCTTTTTTTTTTTTTTTTTTTTTTTTGAGACGGAGTCTCGCTGCATCACCCAGGCTGGAGTGCAGTGGCGCGATCTCGGCTCACTGCAAGCTCTGCCTCCCGGGTTCATGCCATTCTCCTGCCTCAGCCTCCCGAGTAGCTAGGACTACAGGCGCCCACCACCATGCCCGGCTAATTTTTTTTTTGTATTTTTGGTAGAGACTGGGTTTCACCATGTTAGCCAGGATGGTCTCAATCTCCTGACCTCGTGATCCGCCTGCCTCGGCCTCCCAAAGTGCTGGGATTACAGGCGTGAGCCACCGCGCCCGGCCAATATTTCTTATTATAAAGTCTACTTTGTCTGATAATATAGCCTCTCTAGCTTTCTTATAATTAGTGTTTGTATAGTCTTTATTTTTGTATTTGTTTACTTTTAACTTATCTGTATTTTTATGTTTAAAATGCATCTCAGCCTGGACAACATAGTGAGACCCTGTCTCTTAAAAAATACAAAAATTAGGCCGGGAAGAGTGGCTCACGCCTGTAATCCCAGCACTTTAGGAGCCCGAGGCGGGCGGATCACGAGGTCAGGAGATCGAGACCATCCTGGCTAACACGGTGAAACCCCATCTCTACTAAAAATACAAAAAAATTAGCCGGGTGTGGTGGCAGGTGCCTGTAGTCCCAGCTACTTGGGAAGCTGAGGCAGGAAAATAGTGTGAACCCAGGAGGTGGAGCTTGCAGTGAGCCGAGATCACGCCACTGTGCTCCAGCCTGGGTGACAGAGCAAGACTCCATCTCAAAAACAAAACAAAACAAAACAAAACAGAACAAAAATTAGCCAGATGTGGTGGCTTGCCCCTGTAGTCCCAGCTACTCAGGAGGCTGATGCAGGAGGATTGCTTGAGCCTGGGAGGTTGAGGCTGCAGTGAGCTATGATCATGCCACTGCACTCCAGCTTGAGTGACAGAGCGAGACCTTGTCTCAAATAAATAAAATGCATTTCTTGAAAGTAGCCTATTTAACAAAGAAATGGAATCAATGTAGGTGCTCATCAATGGTGGATTGGATGAAGGAAATGTGCTACATACACAGCATGAAATACTACACCGCCATAAAAAGAATAAAATCTAGTCCTTTGCAGCAACATGGATGCAGCTGGAGGCCATTATCCTAATCAAATTAATACAGAAACTTTTTTACTGCATGTGTTTAGAATCTCTGTTAATAAGGGGCATCAACTTTTAGGATTGTTATGTTCTCTTGATCAATTGACCCCTTATCAGTATGGAATTACTATCTTCATCTATGGTAATATTTGTTCGTCTAAAAACCAATTTTTGTAATGCTAATGTAGATAATCCAGCTTTCTTTTGATTACTGTTAGCATGCTATATATTTTAGTTTATGTTTTTATATTAAAAGTGTATTTCTTTGGAGCAGCATGTAGATGTTTGATTTTTTAAAATCAAATCTGACAATCTCTGTCATTTATATGAGTTTAAACCATTTACATTTAATGAGATTTATGACATAGTTAAATTTAAATATATTATCTTTGTACTTTCTGTGTGTTTCATGTGTTTTTTAATTCCGCTTTTCCTCATTTCTACCTTCTTTTATATTTATTATTTTTAAATGATTTCACGTTCCCTCCTTTGTTATCTTATTAGCTACAACTTTTTGTTGTGTTATTTTAGTATTGTTTTATGGTTTATACTATACACCTTTAACTTATCTCAGACTATCTTCCAGTGATATGATACCATTGCACGTTTGGGAACTTCACAATGTTATACTTCAATTTCTCCCCTCCCAAACTTTGTGTTATTGTTGTTGTGTATTATACTTTGATATGTGCTACAAATATTACACTACATTGTTATTATTTTTGCTTAAACAGTTGGTTATCTTTCAACAGATCTAAAGTTTAAGAAAAAGTATATAGATGTACCCACATAGTTACCATTTCTGATGCTCTGTATTTCTTTTATAGATTCACATTTCCACCTGGTATCTTTTTTTTGAGAGGGAGTCTTGCTCTGTCACCCAGGCTGTAGTGCAGTGGTGCAATCTCGGCTCACTGCAACCTCCACCTCCTTTCAAGAGATTCTCCTGGCTCAGCCTCCTGAGTAGCTGGGACTACAGGCACACACCATCACGCCCAGCTTGTTTTTGTATTTTTAGTAGAGACGGGGTTTCACCATGTTGGCAAGGATGGTCTTGATCTCCTGACCTCGTGATCCACCTGCCTCAGCCTCCCAAAATGCTGCGATTACAGGCATGAGCCACCGTGCCTGGCCTGGTATCATTTTTATTCTGCCTAAAGAACTTATTTAACATTTGTCTCACTGTGAGTCTCCTGGTGGTGAATTCTTTCAACTTTATTATGTCTAACATGCTTTTATTTCACATTTGTTTTGAAAGGGTGTCACTTTGGGAGGCTGAGGCAGGCAGATCACGAGGTCAGGAGATTGAGACCATCCTGGCTAACATGGTGAAACCCCATCTCTACTAAAAGAAATACAAAAAATAAGCCGGGCATGATGGCAGGCGCCTGTAGTCCCAGCTACTTGGGAGGCTGAGGCAGGAGAATGGCGTGAACCCAGGAGGCGGAGGTTGCAGTGAGCCGAGATCGTGCCACTGCACTCCAGCCTGGGCCACAGAGCGAGGCTCCACCAAAAAAAAAAAAAAGTGTTTCCACTCAGTATAGAATGAGGTTGAGATTTCTTTTTCTTTCACTATTCTAAAGATGTTGCTCTACTGTTTTCTTGCTTGCATTGTTTCCAATAAAATATTTGTCATTATTTTGGTTCTTCCGTACATAGCATTTTCCCCCCTTTGGCTGCTTTTTTTTTTTTTTTTTTGAGACGGAGTCTCGCTCTGTCGCCCAGGCCGGACTGCGGACTGCAGTGGCGCAATCTCGGCTCACTGCAAGCTCCGCTTCCCGGGTTCACGCCATTCTCCTGCCTCAGCCTCCCGAGTAGCTGGGACTACAGGCGCCCGCCACCGCGCCCGGCTAATTTTTTGTATTTTTAGTAGAGACGGGGTTTCACCTTGTTAGCCAGGATGGTCTCGATCTCCTGACCTCATGATCCACCCGCCTCGGCCTCCCAAAGTGCTGGGATTACAGGCGTGAGCCACTGCGCCCGGCCCTTGGCTGCTTTTAAGATTTGCTTTATTACTGGTTTTGAGTAATTTGACTGTAATGTAATTTGG
The DNA here is from genome assembly GCF_000001405.40 of Homo sapiens. Taxonomy (NCBI): domain Eukaryota; kingdom Metazoa; phylum Chordata; class Mammalia; order Primates; family Hominidae; genus Homo; species Homo sapiens. Next base: position 149,539,514 of record NC_000007.14, on the reverse strand, counting down.
TGTTATTTTCTTCACATCTCTTGTGCCCAGGTTTCATTAAGCTTCTTGAATATGTGGGTGTAGAGTTGGTCTAAAATTTGGAATTTGGGGAGCATTATTTTTTCAGATATTTTTCTGCCCTACACCCCAACTTTCAGAAATTCTTTTCTGCTCACTATGCTGTGTTCTTTTTTCTTTCTTTTAAAATTCTCTTTTAAAAGTAGGTATTTCACTTTGAATAGTTCTGTTGCTATGGTTTCAAGCTAATGATTCTTCTACAATGTCTAATCTTTTGTTAATCAAACAGTGTCTTTTTTACTCACCATTGTAGTTTTCATCTCTTTCATTCACTTTTAGTCTTTGTGACGTAATAAAAAAAAATACATATTTGGTTTCTGCCTCCATTTCCTGGCACACAGCTCCTGAAATCCTTGGGATCTCTGAAGTGATGAGTGTCTGGTGAATATGGTAGTAAGAGGACTGATGGCTGGGGGGTCCTGGGTAGCCTCAGGATCAGGGATAGTTGCCAGGAGAATCAACTGTGATTAAAGGGTTGGAAATTTTAGCCCAATCCCCCTACCTCCAGGGAGGGGAGAGGGACTGAAGGTTGAATAGATTACTATTGACCAATGATTTAACAGTGAAGCCTCTTTAAATATACCTGCATAAAACCCCAAAAGGATGGCCTTCAAAGAGTTTTCAGATTGCTGAACATGTGAAGGTGCTGGAAAGGTGGTATGCCTGGAGAAGGCATGGAAACCCCATGCCAATTCCCATGTACCTTGCTCCATGTACCTCTTCATCTGGCTGTTTATCCACATCCCTTGTAATGTCCCTTAAAATAAAGTGGTAAGTTTAAGTAAGTACTTCCCTGAGTTTTGTGAGCCATTCTAGCAAAAGACCAAATATGAGAAGGAGGTCATAGGAACTCCCAATTTATAGCCAGCCTGTCAGAAGTACTGGAAGTTTGCACTTAAAATCGGCAACTGAAGTGAGGTCAGACGTGTGACTAAGCCCTTAACCTGTGGCATCTCATTCTAACTCCACTTAAATAGAGTCAGATTAGTTGAATTGTAGAACACCTAGCTGGTGTTTGTAGAAAATTGGAGAATGCTTTATGGGGAAAAACAGCCCCGCATTTTCCTAACCAGAAGTGTTTTATGTGGAGTGTTGAGAGTATAGTAGAAGAAAATAGTTTGGTTTTTTCCCCTATTATATACTATTTTTTTAAAGCTTCAATGAAACTGCTTGATTTCTACAACAAACTACTAGAGACAGAGTAGTTTATAAAGAAATTTATTTCTCACAGTTCTGGAGGCTGGGAAGTTCAAGATCAAGTCCCCAGCAGATTCCATGTCTGGTGAGGGCCCATTTCCTGGTTCATAGACAGCCATCTTCTTGCTGTAACCTTACATCACAGAAGGCACAAGGGTCCTCTCTCAGGCCTCTTCTATAAGGGCATAAATTCTGTTCACGAGGGCTCTGCCCTCATGATCTAATCACCTCCCAAAATTCCCACCTCCTAATACCATCACCTTTGGATTTAAAATTTCAACATACAAATTTGAGGGGGATACAAATATTCAGTCTATACCACTACTTTTTGAACATATAGAATGCACTTATAATGACTTTAAATGTTCTTCCCTCTAATTCTAACATCTGTGTCACTTTGGGTCAGTTTCTATTGGTTGACTTTTCTCCTAATTGTAGGTGGTGTTTTCCTACTTCTTTCATACCTAGTAATTTTTGGCTGCAGACATTGTGAATTTTATCTTGTTGGCAGCTGGATATTTTAATACTTGCATAGATATTCTTGAGCTTTGTTCTGGAATTCAGTCAAGCTGCTTGAAAACAGGGCAAGGCACTTCTGTATTCTCTACCCAGTGCCCCATGAATCATGAGGTTTTCCAGTCTGGCTGGTGAAAATAGGTACTATTTCCAGTGTGAACACCATGCATTGTTACCACTTATCCTTTCAGATGGTTCTTTCCTTGGCCCTGGAGAGTTTCCTCATGTGCATGTGCTGATCAGTGCCTAGCTGAGCATTTGAGTATGATCCTCTGCAGAGCTCCAGAGTTCTCTATCTCTGGGCATCTCTCTTCTCTCCAGTATTCTCTTTAGCAAACTCTGACTGCCTTTATCTCTCAAGGCTCAGAGCTCCATCTATTTAATTCCTGGAGTCCATAGGGCTTGGCCTGGGTTTCTCTTCTCTGTGCTGTATCCTAGAAGCTTTCCCAAGGCAGTCAATTGCAGCATTCATAGGATTTATTTTCCATTGCTCAGGGATCACTGTCCCTTGCTGCTTGATGTCCAATGTCTTGAAACTGTTGTTTCCTATATTTTTCAGTTTTTTGGCTATTTTAGATAGGAGGATAAATCCAGTCACAATGAGGATAAATCGTCATCATAAGCAAAAGCCCATTTAAAAAACATAGTAATATCTTTGGGTCCTAATGCATATCTTCACTTGGAAGCCCCACCACCTTCTCAGAATCAACATGGGCAAAACTAAATGCCCTATCTCCCTGCAGCCATCATCTCCACGTTCTCCATCTGGAGTCTTTGCCTCAGTCAATGACACCATCACCCACACAGCTGTCTAAGTTAGAGCCTGAGAGTCATTTTAGATTTCGCTTTCCCTCACTATTCGCATCTAATTTATTAACTAATCTGATCAATTCTAACTCATATACATCTCCCTAGTCTTTCTCCTTTTCTCCACGTCAACAATCACTGCCCTAAGACTGTTATCATCTCTCTAGTGGCAGTTTGTACCGTGTCCGTTTGGTATAGCTAAAACTACTTTCCCAGAATTATTTCCTCGTCGAAATTCAGGTTAGAGTTGGACAAAAGAATTTGAGTGATATTTGGGAGGTAGAAGAGAAGCCACAGCCATTACCCTCTGACAGCTGTTGTTGCAACATACAGACAGTTACCAGTGGATTCCAGCTCATTCTGCTCTCCCTCGCTCTGTGCTCAGCTCTTCCCAGTGGCCAGCCCTGTCCATTAGCAGTAGCCCCAGTAGCCACCACCAGATACTTGTCTGAGGACCTACAGAAATGGTAGCTAAATTTCTTTGGAGTTTTTCTCTAGACTCTTTGTAGCCCCACTTCAGCAGCTGAATGTGCTTGGATTCTCAGGGCTCCCTGCAATCTCAATTTGTCCACCTTGCCATGCTTTAGGAAGGTTGGATAATGACTGCTCTTTGATCCTCCATCTTCCCTAACTCATCCTATAATTGTGCATGGTCTTAGTCCTATAACAATTTCTCATTCAATAATACTTAAGTGATTCTGCTTCCCTAATTGAATACTGACTGACACATCTCATTGGTATTTTTAAACTTTTTCACTGTGAAGCATACAAAAAATCACAAATAATAAGTGATCAGCTCTAAGAATAAGAAGAATTAAATATACCTGTGTAATCTCACATCCAGATCAAGAAATAGAACATTACTCATGGGTAGATGCCAATGAAATGCAAGGAATGGAGCAGGGAATGACTATTCTCTAAGTATACATTTTTATGTAGCCTTGACAGTTGAATCATTTTAATATTTTACATTTCCAAAAAATAAGTATGAGGAGATAAACCTAAAAATAAATATAAATAAAACCAATAAATCTAATGATATATTACATTGATTCAATGCCTACAAAGAATTAAAAAACTCTCAGTGGTGTATATTCTAAGGAAAAAAGTAAGATATTGGAAAAAATTAGATATTGAACTTAAGTTAATTTGGTATAGCTTACAAAACCTGTATGTTGATATTTGGGGGTGCTAGTGTTCCATTTGTGGAAGACAGGAAATATAAACATGGGATGGAGGTGTTGCAGTCTTGTTGTCTGAGGTATTACCCGAGCTCTTTGTCTAATGACCAAGAAAATTAAGGACCATGGACACCAAAGGTGAAGCTGGGGCAAAGGTTTAATAAGCAAAATAGGAAAGCTCTTTGCAGTAGAAGGGGGACCTGAGAGGGTTGCCTTTTTTTCAGTTGAATACAGGTGCTTTTATTAAAAAAAAAAAAAAAAAAAAAAAAAAAAAAAAAAAAAAAAAAAAAACCACTTCCCCTATCTGTGTAGCTGTCTGTGTAATTGCCCTTACCGGTGCAGCTGCAGGCATGTCTCAGGCAAGCCTCCTTACCATGCAAGTTTCCACGGATCCCACTGTGTGCATGTTCATAGAAGAGGAGGAAACTTTTCCCTGGGAGCCCACCAATTACACAGAGAACAAAGTTGTTTCTATATTGGGCCTTGCTCCCTTATCTGTGCAGCTGCAGCTTGATTTTTCAGGTTTTTTTCTCTGTTTAAAAGAATTCTACTGAGGACTGGCCTTAACTGTCTGCTTACCTGGGTGTTTTTTTCCTTTTTCTGCTCTCATTTCCCCACTCAGGACTGGAGACCCCAGCTGCTGTTAGGGAGGTTGGGTGATGATCTTTCTAGCTAATTCTGGCTAAATAGTGGCATCGTGTGGGGGACTATAACAGTCAAGGCTCCTCTTGAGGTTAATTTAAGGGTCCCCAGAAGAATGGTGTGGCCATGTGTGGTTCCATTTACATTACCATTTGAAGTTCAATGGCCTCTAAGTGAGAAGAAACAGTTTGGATTATTAGAGGACATGTATCAAAACAAAACAAGGTGGGGGTAAGGACAGCTCAAAAATCCCAAGGCTGTCAACACTCCCAAGTAACTGGTGGCTATAGTTATGCCTGTTAAGATTTGGGTGCATGGGACTTGACTTTGGTTAGGTTTCTTGGTCTTATTCTCCCAAACAAACAAACCTCTGAGTTATGGGCACCCTATCTATTCCCATCACCTGGTAGGATTTGCAGGATAATTGCTCAGAATTAAAATATTGATCCAGATTATTTATATTCCCTATCCCTTTTGTTTCTTCTGAGCTGCAGCCATAGATCACTGGTTGGTTTACAGGAATAAGCAAGGTGAATCTATAATGTAGACAAAAACTTAAAAACAACTGAGATTAGAATTAATTGACAAGTGTATATGTCTTGAAACATAATTTCTCTCTGTTCAGTCCTCATTTTTTCTAAAACAAATCATGATAAGGCTTAGTTGTTTGCAAAATAAACTTTAGTTTTATACTTGGCCTGATTATTTGTGTAAAGTGCAGCAAGAATACCAATCCTTCACAGAGGCTTTTAAATTGGCCTTGATGGAACTGTGCTCCACAAAAAAATCTAAGATGAGACCTTTTAAACCTGAGCCCACCCATGGGTTTGTACCCTTAAATATCTATGAGTTGGGTAAATTCCTCTCTTCTTGAGGTCCCAAGAATATGGGGCTCCTGGGCCTGTTAGAAAGTGACATTCTTTACTCACCACAGGTTAGGAACCCTGTACAGGGACTAGGTAGACAAGGTATGAGGTTAGTTTTTCCAAGGGGCTTTTATTGACTCTGCAAGTGAAGCTTGATTCCTTAAAGGGAAGCACACCATTCTGGTCAAAGCCTTGGTAAAATGACCAGTATCTCCAGTTGTGTCTTGTTGCAAAAGAAAATGGATTCTTATTGCACTGATGCAAATAAGTATATTGCCATAATTTAGGAATACTCACAAATAGTTTCCAAATTCTGGAGATGCCAGGCAGAGATAAACAAACATGCTTCGAATTTTGTTTACAGGAATATACCTTACTCAATTATTGAAGGCAGTAAATAGCTCAAGGTAAGTTTTCTTGACTGAAAAACAAAACAAGGATCAGTAACGTTTTAAGCAAAAAGGCTAAAAAGGTTACTTCAGTTTTCTGTTAGTTCAGTCCATTTTGTTAACTCTTGTTAATATTCATGAACATTTCAGCTCATCATTAGTCCTGTACATTTTTACTTTATTCCAATGTTTATAATCTCCAAAGTTATCAGATACTTGCATTTGAGAGCACCTGTCAGAGTCCTATAGCTGATTATAACCATCTTTTGAAGAGGATCAAAACAAGACATCAATTGTCTGTGAAATGACGAAATGTCCTGGTTATTTACAGTTAAGAACATGATTGACAAATTTGGTTATTTCTGTGGTTTTCAATAACTTAACATAATATCCTTAATTATAGTTGGTAGCATATATTCAGACATTATAATTTTTAAAATCCCATACAATGTTGGAATATATGTTGATATTATTTACTAAAATATAACCTGAAGAATACTAAACATCATTTTGACAATCCCAGCTGGGCACGGTGGCTCACGCCTGTAATCCCAGCACTTTGGGAGGTCAAGGCAGATGGATCACCTGAGGTCAGGAGTTCAAGACCAGCCTGACCAACATGGAGAAACCCCGTCTGTACTAAAAATACAAAACTAGCCAGGAGTGGTGGTGCATGCCTGTAATTCCAGCTACTTGGGAGGCTGAGGCAGGAGAATTGCTTGAACCTGGGAGGTGGAGGTTGCAGTGAGCCGAAGTCGTGCCATTGCACTCCAGCCTGGGCAACAAGAGTGAAACTGTGTCTCAAAAAAAAAGACAATTCTACGTACCCAGACATGACAAATAATCCTGTTTACCTCCCTGTTAGGTGCTCCAGGGGCCCTCTGTAGCATCCAAAAGCTTAGGGGTTAGAAAAGACAACCTTGAAACTGAAGTTTGATTTTGGGAAGCCTGTTAAATATGTTAGAGGTTCAAAGCACTTGACATTACAAAATACAATTCCAGATGACTATAAGCTATTTATTTTAGTCAAAATGATGACTGTAATCTAAAACAACCCTTTAACCCTAGACAGAAATTTACATTTCCATACCTTCTTATAATCTTTTACTAAAAAACAGTTTACTGTTTTTACATACATTGCATGTAAATCTATTTTCAGTAATCTTAATTACATGTTATAATGGTAACTCTTAGCAATTTTTAACTTTAATGTAAAACCTGGTAAGTTGTTTTAATTATATACTAGGCACAGATAAAGTCTGACCCCTTCCAGCATAGTTAAGGGCATGGTAAATTTGATATGTACCCAGGGCTTATTAATTGTGAAGCAGCCAAGTCAAATAGTTCTCAAAGACCAAAGAAGCAGTTTACAACCTTAAAACATTTAGCAAACCTAGTATCTGACCTGCATAATTTAAACCACATATTTACATATGAAGACATTTGTATTTTACTAATAGTCTTTAAGACTGGTCTTATTTCTTAAAGATTAAAGTGACATAACTAAATGCATTATAGCTTTTATTTTTCCTTCAAAAAATATTTGATCTAAGTGCTTATTTTTTAAGCCAATTGATTAGAGCTTTTTAAATATAAACATTATACACATAATACATATGACTACACAGACAGACAGAAGATGCAGCAGTTATAAGGGTTTTTTGTTTGTTTGTTTATCAATCTCCATATTAGATTACCAGCCTCAGGGTGAAGCCCTTAAAGAGAAGGGCTAGGAAATCATGCAGTTTCTAGGGCCTAATAAACAGGCATACCTGGTATACAAAAACAGATTTTGAGAGGAATCTATTTACCTCCAATTCCTGGTGTTCCATGAGGAAAATAGAGATTTCTCCCAAAATGGAATCCATGGCGTCTTTTCTTTTTTCCAAGGAGTCCCAGGCCATTAGAAGTTGTCCTAGGGCTTTTTATGCATGCATTAAGAGTGGCAAGAAACAGTGGAGAAAAGTAATTTAGTTGACTGAGGGAAAAAAAAAGAAGAAAAGAAAACCTTTCCAGAAAAACAAGATCCAAGAAGAAAAAAACATAAAGCCCTTTTTTTTTTTTTTGACAGAAAGTCTTGCTGTCTCACCTAGGCTGGAGGGCAGTGGTGCAATCTTGGCTCAGTGCAATCCCCGCTCCCAAGTTCAAGTGATTCTCCTGCCTCAGCATCCTGAGTAGCTGGGACTACAGGCACACGCTACCATGCCCAGCTAATTTTTTTGGCATTTTTGGTAGAGACAAGGTTTTGTCACGTTGGCCAGGGTAATCTCAAACTCCTGGCCTCAGGCAATCCACCCGCCTTGGCATCTCAATGTGTTGGGATTACAGGTGTGAGCCACCGTGCCCAGCCAAGGCTTTTTAAAATATACCTATAACTTGGATATCTACTTTTTTTGGGGGGGGTGGGGGGCAGAGTCTCGCTCTGTCTCCCAGGCTGGAGTGCAGTGGCGTGATCTTGGCTTACTGCAAGCTCCACCTCCCAGGCTCATGTCATTCTCCTGCCTCAGCTTCCTGTGTAGCTGGGACTACAGGCTCCTGCCACTATGCCCGGCTAATTTTTTTTGTTTTTTTTTTTTAGTAGAGACAGTTTTACCATGTTAGCCAGGATGGTCTCGTTCTCCTCACCTCATGATCTGCCCACCTCAGCCTCCCAAGGATATCCACTTTTAATTAAGCTGAGTACTCTTTAAGAACATCCTTTTTCATTAATTAAAACTTTGCAGAGAATATAAACAGTGATCCTTATCTCTCCTTTTACCAGTTTGCACAGGGAGAAAGAAGACAAAAGTCCGACTGGTTAAAAAAAAAAAAAAAACTTTTATCCTTTTGCTGGCATGTCCGGCTTCTGGATTTTCTAGGGGAGTTTCTTTGAGGTCCTCCTTGGCTGCATAAGTTTGCACCACTACCTGTTCACAGTCATGTTCAGGTTCTCCAGTTTCCTTTGGGAGGAAAGTGGCTGGGTTCAGACAAGGACAGGTTTTTAACTGGACTGTGATCCCTCTAATAGCAGAGCCTGATATTTGAGGAGGCAATTATTTGTTAGCCAGAGACTTCCCTTAGAGAACAGCAATTCTAACCACATTATGTTGGGTATATACATTTATTCCCAATGGTTAACTTGGTGACTTCTGGCACCAGCAAAGCCACCACAGCAACTGCTCAGAAGCAGGCTGGCCATCCTTTAGCCACCAAGTCTAGATCCTTGCTTAGGTAACCTACTGGCTGTTAAGCTGGACCTTGAGCCTGAGTCAAAACTTCCATGGCCATTCCCTTCCTTTTTGATACACAGAGACCGAATGCCTTCCCTATGGGAAGACTGTGGGCTGATGGTTTACCTAAGGTTTGTTTTAACTGGTTAAAGGCTTCTTTAGCCCCAAGTTTCCAAGTCAGGTAGTGAATCTCAGCTGCTTCAGTTTCTTTTATAAGACAGTATAAAAGGTGAGCTATCTCACCATACCCAGGTATCCATAGTTTGCAAAATCCAGTAATGCCTAAGAATCCCCTCAGGTGTTTAAGAATTTGGGGTAGGGGAAAGGAGAAAATGGGCCTAATCTTTTCCTCACCTAGTGCTCTGGTCCCTTCTGATAAGACTAGTCCTAGGTACTTTACTGAAATCTGAGTCTTAGATATTGAAACCCTATATCTCCTTTTAGCTAAGAAATTGAGGACAGCCTCAGTGCCTTCCTGAGACTTTCTTGGTTGGGGCACAGAGGAGAATGTTATTGACATACTGCAACACTTCAACTTGACGGTCAGAAAAATCAGAGAGATCTTTGGACAGGGCCTGTTTTTGCAATTTCCTTGTGATATCAGGGGCTGCCTGAGTAATAAATATGTTATTTAAGATTAGGTGTCCTTCAGTTGAATTGGGAGACAGGGCGGTATGTTTCACTAACGTTTCTCTCAGCTTTTCCAGACAGGCTGAGGGATTTTCATCTAGTTTTGATCTATTATGGAAAGCTTGAGGTAGTTAATAGGTTTGGCTCTAGTCTTTTGCAAGTCTTCCAAAATACACATTTGAAAGAACTTCCCTCTCCATCTCTGATGCTATTATCATGGTCCCATTGAGGGTCCTCCAAAGGCATTACTACTCTCCCAATTGATTAAGGCTCTTCCCCTTCCCTGGCACTGTATGAGACAGAAAGTTTATCTCCAAATTTCTCTGTTGCTTGCAGGGCTTCCTGTTTCACAGCAGCAGTTAGGGTTTGATTTAGAGTAATATAACATCCTTCCAGGAGAGTGTAAATACTTGGGTTAAATCCTAGAAGACCTCTATAACATGAGTGAATTTGGGGCTTTCCCAGAGCGAACTTCAGGGTCTGAGGGTTAGAGGAGATCCAGGCTACACTCAAGTGGAGTGAAGGCTTGAAGATCTAGAAAGGGAGGGGGGGAAAGGTGTCCCTTAGTCTTCTCCCTCCCATTAGAGTGACCCAGGGTAGAGAGGAAGATAGAAAGGGTGTCTCCCTTCTCCTCTTTCCTTTTGTCTCCTCTGGGTCCCAGCAACCATCATAGGTGCTGCCCATTGATGCAAGCATGACCTTCGCCCATCGATCTGTAAGAGCTAGTCAGCAGGAGTAGTCATGCTTACCTACTTGATGCCTTAGCTCTCTGTCTGTCTCTGGGTTTCCCAAACCTACTCGACCCAAAAGGCTTCCAAGGTACCCCATGAGCCCAGGAGAGATTGTGCAGTAACTGGATTTGGGCAAGACTCTTTAATGGAGGGAGTGTCCTGACTCTATACCTGGCTTCTCTTACTATGGCTCTGATGGACTACTGAATTCACAGAGAATGGAACCAATGGATTTCTAAGCATAAAATCCCTTTTGTTTAAATGGCAATGTAGCTGGATGTAGAACAGGTGTCTCAAAAGAACATAAGGATTAAATGGCTGTCATGCCTTCTATGGGGACAGTACTAAGCTAGAATTTGTCTCTTTAGGGTGGTTTCCTCCCAACTATTGAAAGTGGAGTTTACCTGCCTATAAATAGGGCATGGGGTCTGACTACTGATAGAGGGATGCAGGAGGGAAAGGATTTGGGGAACTAGAGGTTTGGGACAAAGGGACGATAAATCCCCCTATGAAGAAAAATTCCATTTCACTAGGTGGCATGGCAGAGACTGAAATGTTTGGTTAAAACTTTGACTCCAAATTATTTCCAGGCAGAGGTTAGAGAGGTGTGAGGCTTGGTAGGCTGTCCCCACAATATGCCTACTGGCAGGAAAAAAATTGATTTGTCTCATGGAGGAACTTTTTGAATTCATTGGGCAGTGCTGAGTTCTTACATGGAGGAAAAAAAACAACCCAAATGGAGAAAAGAGTATTCACTCAGGGTGAAATATCCCCCTATACAGTGCGATGAATGACTACCACTGGTTGACAAAAAGGCCCTTACTTTTAGACTGAAATCTTGAAATCACCCCATCCCAAGAAAATCACAGAAGCAGCAATTCTTTGAGTTACATTCCTGGTTACTAAGACATTTGCTAACTTTACCCAACAAGATTATCTCCCCAGGCTGTAAAAACTCCCTTAATATAGCATACAAAAAAGGGATAGGAGACATGAAAGCTACAAAAAAGAAAGGAAGAAAATGTGATAAGAAAATCTGGAAGTCCTGGTGCCAATACCCTGATGGCCTGCTGAGGACTGGAGTTAGTCCAGGGGCCTTCAGGTAACACTGAGGTGTAGCCTTGGCAAGAAACCTTCAGTTGCCCCAGGACCTCCTTCCAGCCCCACGCAATTGCTAGGCCCTCCATGAAAGGAAACTGGATTGGAACAGAGCCAACATTCCCACTACCTGAGGGTGATCGGGGATTGACAAAGTCCTCTCCAGCATGTCTGTCCCCTTAGTCTTGTAAGGCTGGCAGCCACATTATTCATCTTTAACTGGCTGACAGGGTTCCAGTGTTTTGTTTAATTTTTAAAAACTGAGAATGAGAAGTCTCAGAAATGAAAGTAAAGAGTTGGAGGTCAGCTCCTGCTCACCATTCCAATATGTCGTTTCCTGGCCAACACGCCACAGTGTTGCAGTCTTGTTGTCTGAGGTATTACCCAAGCTCTTTGTCTCACAACCAAGAACATTAAGGAGTGTGGACACCAAGGGTGAGGTTGGAGCAAAAGTTTAATAAGCAAAAGAGGAAAGCTCTCCACAGCAGGGGGCCCAGAAGCATTGCCATTTTTTCAGTTGAATACAAAGGGTTTTTTAAGAAACTTTCCCTATCTGTGTAGCTGTCTGTGTAACTGCCCTTATCTGTGCAGCTGCAGCATGTCTCAGGTAAGCCTCCCCCAACATGCAAGTTTCCACGGAGCCCACCATTTGCATGTTCATAGAAAGGGAGGAAACCTTTTCTTGGGAGCCTGTTGATCATACAAAGAACAAAGGCATTTCTTTATTGGGGCTTGCTCCCATATCTGTGCAGCTGCAGCTTGATTTTTTTTTTTTTTTTTTTTTTTTGAGACGGAGTCTCACTCTGCTGCCCAGGCTGGAGTGCAGTGGTGCAATCTCAGCTCACTGCAAGCTCTGCCTCCCAGGTTCACGCCATTCTCCTGCCTTAGCCTCCTGAATAGCTGGGACTACAGGCACCCGCCACACCTGGCTAATTTTTTTGTATTTTCAGTAGAGACAGGGTTTCACCATGCTAGCCAGGATGGTCTTGATCTCCTGACCTTGTGATCCGCCTGCCTTGGCCTCCCAGAGTGCTGGGATTACAAGCATGATCCACCACGCCTGGCCTGCAGCTTTATTTTTCAGGCTGTTTCTCTGTTTGAAAAAATTCTACTTAGTACCTGCCTTAACTGTCAGCTCAACTGGGTTTTTTTCCTTTCTCCTCTCTCAGAGGGAGGCAAGGAAGTACCACAGTGTTGGACTGACATTGTAAGTAGTGGTGTAAATACACACACACACACACACACACACACACACAGAATTTCATAACTGCCTTCTGAAAGGGACCAGAAACAATCATTTAGTTGCATTGAGCACTCTTAATGCCCATAATTTAGAATTAAATTCCCTTAAGAGGAATCAGGAGACCAGACGTGGTGGCTCACGCCTGTAATCCCAGCACTTTGGGAGGCCAAGGCAGGTGGATCACGAGGTCAGGAGATCAAGACCATCCTGGCTAACATGGTGAAAACCTGTCTCTACTAAAAAAATAAATAAATAAATAAAAATTAGCCGGGTGTGGTGGCGGGCACCTGTAGTCCCAGCTACTCGGGAGGCAGAGGCGTGAACCCGGGAGGTGGAGCTTGCAGTGAGCCGAGATCACGCCACTGCACTTCAGCCTGGGTGACAGAGCGAGACTCTGAAAAAAAAAAAAGAAAAGAGAGAGAAAGAAAGAAAAGAAAGAAAAAGAAAAGAAAGGAAGGAAGGAAGGAGAAAGAAAAGAAAAAAAGAAAGAAAAAAGAAAAGAGAAAGAAAAAGAAAGAAAGAGAAAGAAAGAAAGGGAAGTCAGGAACTCCTGAAGAAATGTCTGATTCCAGGGCTGGACAGGAAACCTAAAAGGTAAACAATGGAACATCTTGTGCCAGAAGAAAGTGCTTAAAAACTGATAGAGTTATGTCAACAGAACACAGGAGCCAGCCTGAAGAGACTCACTCCTAGCTAAATTTAGGGCAATTTAAGCATTGCAACAAATAAAGATAGGAATATTTTATAGCTCATTAAAGAGTCTGTGAATCCATATTAGTAAATTTATTTTTTTATTTAATGTAAAGAGAGAAAATCTCTTCCTTACCAAAAAAATTAACTAACAAATATAGATGGAATGATGGAAATATAAAACATCATTTTATAAACATCATTGTAGTAATTGATTTGGGTAACAATCATTATCAGATGCTAAATTTGTTAGTTGAATATTGTTGGAGAACAGAATTTTTAAAAATATGTCAAACACCATTTAAGTTAAATAATCAAATTCAACTCCACCAGTCATGGGACAAACTGACTTCCTTGCCTCCTGATGTGATACACTGAGAAGAGCACAACCCCACCTCTGTAGTAATTTTACCAAAATATTGAACTTTATTTAAATAATGAGAAAACAATTAGACAAATCCTCTCCAAAGAAACCAATATACTAATTTTAGCATATTTTGGGCCTATTTTTGACTTTACATACTTTTATGTTTGTGAGATCCAGTCATGCTGCTGTATAGATATTGAATACAGGGACATTCTGCAAAACAGCTGGCTCAGGCTCCTCAAAAATGTCAACATCGTGAAAGAAAACAGAAGTCTAGAGAACTAGTCTAGATTAAAGTGATCTTAAAATGCATGGAAACCATATACAAACAAAAGCGTTGATTGGGTCCTGCATTAGAAATAAAAGACTGTCAATGATATTATTGGGATAATTAAGAAATATAGAATGTGCATTGCATAACAGCTGATTGTGTAATTCATAAACTTTCTGAGTATATTGTGATTATATAGGAGAATGCCTTTGTTCTTAGAAGATATATGTAGAAATATTTAGGGGTTCCAGGATTTCTCCAACTAACTTTCAAATGATTCAGAAAAAACATATGTATATCTATATGTACACACACACGTGTGTATATAGAAAGAAAGAGAAATAGCAAATGTAGCAAAATGTTAACAATTGGTGATCCTGGTAAAAAGTGTAAGGATTTTCGTTATACTATTTTTATAACTTTTCTACAGGTTTAAGATTTTCAAAATAAAAATAAAAAATTGTATTTTTATTTGTTTTTATTTATGTTTTCGAGACAGGGTCTTGTTCTGTTGCCTAGGCTAGAATGCAGTGGAGTGGTCACATCTCACTGCAGCCTTGACCTCCTAGCTCAAACAATCCTCCTGTCTCAGCCTCGTGAGTAGCTGAGACTATAGGTACACATCACCATGCCTGGCTAAATTTTTAAAAATTTTGTAGAGACGAGGGCTGACCATCTTGCACAGGCTGGTCTCAAATTCCTGAGCTTTAGCTATCCTCCCATCTCAGCATCCCAAAGTGTAGGGATTACAAGTATAAGCCATTGCACCTGGTCTAAAAATTATTTTTAAAACTAAAAACAGAAAAACCATTACCAGCACCCCAGAAACCACTCTTGTGCCTCCTCCCATTTATAATCTCTCTCTCCTAAAGTAACCACTGTTCTAACTTCTAACACTATTTTTGAATTTTATGTATCTTTTTCCTCATATTATTTTTGTGATATCCAGCCATACTAATGTATGTAAGAATGGTTGACTCATTTTGTTTGCTGTATAGTATCCTACTATGCAAATGCATCATGACTTATTCACCTAACATCCTGTTGAAGAGTGTTTGGGTTGTTGCCAACTTGTGGCTATTAGGAATATTAAGGCTATTCATAGCAGCTATTAATGTGTTCATATGTGTCTTTGAGAAACACATGTACACATTTCTATTAAATATATGCCTAGTAGTAGAATTGCTGGATCATAGATATGCAATTGTTCTGTTTTGGTAGTTAATAAAATACAATTTTCCAAAGTGGTTGTGTGTACCAATTTATGGGCCATTTGGATATGATTTTTCTATTCCAGTCTCATTTTTCTATTGGGTTTTCTGTCGTTTTTCTTAATGGCTTGTAGGTATTACCTTCATATTTGAATGTAAGTTTTCTCTTAATTATGTGCACTTCAAATATCTTTATTTATTTATTTACTGAGATGGAGTCTCACTCTGTCACCCAGGCTGGAGTACAGTGGCACAATCTCGGCTCACTGCAACCTCCACCTCCCGGGTTCAAGCGATTCTTCTGCATCAGCCTACTGAGTAGCTGGGACTACAGGCGTGTGCCACCATGCCTGGCTAATTTTTTGTATTTTTAGTAGAGACAAGGTTTCACCATGTTGGCCAGGTTGGTCTCGAACTCCTGACCTCGTGATCCGCCTGCCTCGGCCTCCCAAAGTGCTGGGATTACAGGCATGAGCCACTGCACCCAGCCCAAATATCTTCTTTGACCTTTAGCTTTCTGAGTGGTGTCCTTTAATGACCAGAATTCTTAATTATAATGGTCTCATGAATCAATCTTTTCATTTATGTTTAGTGTTTTTTATGTTCTCTTTAGTAAATCTTTACCTTTACACCAGGACACAAGGATATTATTTTATGCTTTCTTCCAGGAGCACATTGTTTTATTTTTTATATTCAAGCTACAATCTATTAGGAATCAATTTTATTGTACAGAGTGAAAGTCTAAACCTTTTTTCTATACAGTTATCTAGCTAACTCTGCATCAGTGACTGGAAGAACCATTCCTTCTCACCAAACTGCAGCACAAAGCTTGTTATAAATCAGGTGCCCACATAGGTGTGGGTCTGTGTCTGGACCTTTTCGTCTGTTCCACTGACCTATGTATTTACACAACCACCAATGCCACACCAATTATTGTAGTCTTAGTTACTATATAGAGTGTATCTAATAAACTCTTCCAACTTTGTTCTCCTTCTTCATGAGTGTGTTACTGTCCTTGGCCTTTGAAATGTCCATTAAAATTTTAGAATTAGCATGTCAATATCCACAAAAAGAATGTGATTTTGGTTGAAATCACTCTGAGTCTATAAAGATGAGGGAGCAACTGATATTGTTACCACACTTAGTCCATCATTCCACTAATTTAGTATATCCTATCATTTTTTTAAATAAAATATCATGTTCAATGACATTTTATAGTTTTCTGTGTAGAAATCTTGCACAACTTCACTTTCATTCCTCTGTAGTGGATTTTTATGTTGTAAATAGAATTGTTTGAAATTTTTCTAACTTTCATATTTCTGTCATACAGAAATAGGACTAATTTTTGTGGCTTCATCTTGTATCTAATGACCTGCTATGTTCACTTATTAATTCTGATAGTTGATCTGTATATTATTTTGGATTTTCTGCATGCACAATATCATCTATGAATAATGACAATCTTATTTCTTCTATTCTTATCATTCTTGCTTTACATTCCCTTTTGAATATAAATCGTAACCCCAGGTATCAGTTCCTTTTTCCCATTCTCAAAGAAAACCTTTCCAATATTTCCTCCTTGAATGTGGTACTTACTATCGAAGTTTTATAACACCCTTTATCAGACTAATAATGTTGCCTTCAATGGTAGGCTGAGTAATGGCCCCAAAAAATATCAGGTCCTAATCTCTGGAACCTCTAACTGTCACCTTAACACAGATAACGGGTCTTTGCAAATGTGATTAAGTTAAAGATCTTGAGATGGGGAGATTATTCTAGGTTATTTGGATAGACCCTAAATGCAATAAATCAAGAGTATCTGTATAAAAGACAGGCAAAGAGAGATTTACAGAGAAGAAGGCAATATGACCACAGAGGCTAAGATTGAAGGGATGTGAGCACAAGCCAAGAAATGCCAACAGCCACCAGAAGCTAAAAGAAGCAAAGAGTGGTCTTTCCCCTAGGGACTATGGTGGGAGTGCAGCCTGCTGACTTGATTTAGGCCTGGTGAAACTCATTTTGGACTTCTGGCCTACAGAACCTGTAAAATAATAAATGTATACTTTTAAGCCACCTAGTCTGGTTATTTGTCACAGCAGCCATAGGAAACTACAACTTCTATCCATATTATGCTAATAGTTTTTACTCATAAACAGATGTTGAGTTTTTCAAATGCTGTTTGTGCATTGATTAAGATGATTTTGTGATTCTTCTCCTTTATTCTGTTAATGTAATGAATTATATTGATTTTCAAATGTTAACCTTTAATTCCTGGAATAAATCTGATCAGTCATAATGCTTTATCCTTTTAAATATTGTTGGATTCATCTGTTAATATTTTGTTTAGGATATTTTCATCTAGTTCACAAGATAGATTTGCCTACAATTTTCTTCTCTTGTCTTTATCAGGTTTTAATATCAATGTATTTTGGCCTTATATAATATGTTAAGAAGTATGTCGTATGTTTCTAATTCCCTGAAAGGTTGTACATAAGATTAATATTAGTTCTTCCTTACATATTTAGAAGAATTCACCAGTGAAGCCATCTGAGAATCAAGTTTTCTTTCTGGGAAGGCTTTTAGTAGAGAACTTATTTAACAGATATAAGTGAATTCAATTTTTTATTTCTTCTTGGTCAGTTTTAATAAATTATGTTGTTAGGAATTTGAAAATTCCTTGAAAATTACATCTATTTTTTCAGATGTATTGGCATCAACTTGTTCATAAAATCCCTCTTTTATCTCTTTGTTGTCTCCAGGATCTGAAGTGCTCTTCCATTTTATTATTACTGATATTGGCTATATATGCCTTGTTTTTTTCTCTCTTTATCAGTCTTGCTAATGACTTATCAATTTTGTTAGTCTTTTTCACTGATGAACATTGGCTTTGTTGATTCTATCTATAAATGTTTTGTTTCTGTTCTTATCTTCATTATTTATTTACCTTCTAAATCTTTTTTACAGATATATAATAGTTGTACATATTTTGGGGTACATGTGATATTTTGACACCTATATATAATGTATAATGATCAAACCTGGGTAATTTCACTATCCATCGCCTCAAACACTTATCTTGGGAACATTACAATTCTTCTCTCATAGCTATTTTGAAATCTATAATAATTATTGTTTATTATAGTTTCCCTATTGTACTATCAGACACTAGATCTTATTCTTTTGATCTAAGTGTATTTTTATACTCCTTAACAAACTTCTATTCAGCCTTCCCTTCCTTCATCCCTCCCTGGCCTCTGGTCAGCACCACCCTACTCTCTACCTCCATGAGATTCACTATTTTAGCTCCCACATATGAGTGAGAAGATGCAATATTTGTCTTTCTGTGCTTGGCTTATTTTACTTAACATAATGACCTCCAGTTCCATCCATCCTGCTGCAAATGATAGGATTTTATTCTTTTTTTATGGCTGAATAATAATTACGTTGTGTATATAGACCACATTTTCTTTATCCATTCATATGTTAATGGCCACTTAGGTTGATTCCATATCTTGGCTATTGTGAATTTTGCTGCAATAAAGATAAGAATGCGGGTATCTCTTCAATATACTGATATCCCTTCTTTTAGATATATATACAGAAGTGGGATTGCTGGATCATATGATAGTTCAATTTGTAAGTTTTAGAGGAATCTCCACACTGTTCTCCATAATGGCTATACGGCTTCACACTCCCACCAATAGCGGATGAGGATTCCCCCTTCTCCACAGCCTTGCCAGAATTTTTTTGTTTTTTGTTTGTTTTTTGAGACGGAGTCTCGCTCTGTCGCCAGGCTGGAGTGCAGTGGCATGGTCTCGGCTCACTGCAACCTCCACCTCCCGGGTTCAAGTGATTCTCCTGCCTCAGCCTCCCGAGTAGCTGGGACTACAGGCACAGGCCACCATGCCCAACTAATTTTTGTATTTTTAGTAGAGACGGGATTTCACCATGTTGGTCAGGATGGTCTCAATCTCTTGACCTCGTGATCTGCCTGCCTCGGCCTCCCAAAGTGTTGGGATTACAGGCATGAGCCACCACGCCCAGCCCTTTTGTCTTTTTTATGATAGCCATTTTAACTGGGGTGAGATAATATTTTATTGTGCTTTTGAATTGCATTTTCCTAATTATTAGTGATGTTGAGCAGTTTTTCATATACCTTTGGCCATTTGTACCATTTTTATGTCTTCTTGTAAGAAATGTCTATTCAGGTCTTTTGCGTGATTTTTAGTTAGGTCATTTGGTTTTTTTGCTATTTTGTTTAAGGTTCTTATATATTCTGAGATATATCTATATCTATATATCTATATCTATATATATATAGTCAGATTGGTAGTTTGCAAATATTTTTTCCCATTCTGTATGTTGTTTCTTCACTTTGTTGATTGTTTCCTTTGCTGCGCAGAAGCTTTTTAGCTTGATGTAAACCCATTTATCTATTTTTCCTTTTGTTGCCCATGTTTTTGAGGTCTAACCCAAAAACATCTTTGCCCATACCAATGTCTTTGTAATGTTTCCCCAATGTTTGCTTTCAGTAGTTTCATAGTTTTTGGTCTTACCTTTAAGAATTTAATCCATTTTGATTTGACTTTTGCACATGGTGAAAGATGGGAATATATTTTCATTCTTCTGCATACGTATATACAGTTTCCCCAGCACCATGTATTAAAGAGACTATCCTTTCCTCAATGTATGTTTTGGTGCGTTTGTCTAAAATGAGTTGGCTGTAAGTGCATGGATTTATTTCTGGGTTCTCTATTCTTTTCATTGGTTTATATGTCTGTTTTTATGCC
This sequence comes from Homo sapiens, assembly GCF_000001405.40. Classification (NCBI taxonomy): domain Eukaryota; kingdom Metazoa; phylum Chordata; class Mammalia; order Primates; family Hominidae; genus Homo; species Homo sapiens. The sequence goes on along the minus strand of NC_000007.14, from coordinate 149,519,619 downwards.
AGTATCATGTTCAGGATCTTTTTTGGTTCCACACAAATTATAGGATATTTTTGTTATTTATGTGAAAATGGCATTGGTATTTTGATGGGGATTGCATTGAATCTGTATATTGCTTTGGGTAGCATAGACATTTTAACAATATTGATTCTTCTAATTCATGAGTATGGGATTTCTTTTCATTTTTTGGTGTCCTCTTCAATTGATTTCATCAGTGTTTTACAGTTTTCCTTGTTGTAGTCTTTTACTTCTTTGGTTAAATTGAGTTCCAAGTATTTTATTATTTTTGTAAGCTGTTGTAAATTGGACTGTTTTCTTGATTTATTTTTCAAATTGATTACTGTCAGTGCATAAAAATATTCCTGACTTTTGTATGTTGATTTTGTATTTTGCAACTGTACTGAATTTGTTCATCATTTCTAAGAGTTTTTAGTGGAGACTGTAGGTGTTTCTAAATGTAAGATTATATCATCTTCAAGAAAGGATAATTTGACTTCTTCGTTTCCAATTTTGATGCCCTTTCTTTCTTTATCTTCCTAACTTGCTATGCCTAGGACTTACAGTACTATGTTGAATAGAAGTAGAGAAAGTGGGCATCCTTGTCTTGTCCCAGATCTTAGTGGAAAGGCTCTCAACTTTTCACTATTAAGTATGACATTAGCTGTGTGTTTGTTACATATGGCCTCTATCATGTTGAGGTACGTTTCTCTATATCCAATAGATTTTATCATGAAGAGATGTTGAATTTTATTGAATGCTTTTTGACATCTATTGAAATTATCATATGGTTTTATCCCCAGTTTTGTTAATGCAATGTGTTACATTTATTCATTTACATATGTTGAACCATCCTTGCATCCCTGGTGAATGATTTTTTTAATGTGTTGTTGAATTCCATTTGCAAGTATTTTGTTGAGTGTTCTTGCATCTATATTTATCAGTGATATTGGCCTATTGTTTTCTTTTGTTGTTGTTGTGACCTTGTCTGGTTTTGGTATCAGGGTAATGCTGGCCTCCTAGAATGAGTCTGGAAGTATTCTCACCTCTTAAATTTGTTGAAATAGTTTGAGAATAATTGGTATTAGTTCTTCATTAAATTGTTGGTAGAGTTCAGCCGTGAATTCATCATGTCCTGGGATTTTCTTCAATTAAAGAGTTTTTACTACTGTTTTGATCTCATTACCTATTATTGGTATGGTCAGGTTCTTTTGTATCTTCATGGTTCAACTTTGGTAGTTGTATGTGCCCAGGAATTTATCCTTTTCTTCTAAGTTTTCCAATTTATTGGCATATATTTGTCCATAGTAGTCTCTAATGATCTTTTCTATTTCTGTGGTATCCCTTGTAATATTTTAATTTATTTATCTGGGTTTTCACTCTTCTTTTTGTAGTCTAGCTAAAGGTTTGTCAATTTTATCTTTGCAAAAAAAACACAACTTTTTGTTTCATTGATTTTTTTAAATATTTCTTTTTAGTCTTAATATCATTTTTTTTTTGCTCTGATCGTTATTATTTCTTTCCTTCTACTACTTTGGGGTTTCCTCTTTTCTAGTTTCTTGAGGTGCACTGTTAGGTTGTTTATTTGAAGTCTTTCCATTTTTTAATGTAAGTGCTTATGGCTATAAACTTCACCCTCAATACTGCTTTTGCTGTATCCCATAGATTTTGGTATGTTGTATTTCCATTTTCATTTATTTCAAATTCCTTAACAATTTCCTTCTTAGTTTCTTCATTGGCCCACTGGTCATTCAGGAGTATGTTGTGTAATTTCCATGTATCTGTACAGTTTACAAGGTGCCTCTTGTTATTGATTTCTAGTTTTATTCCATTGTGGTCAGAAGAAATACTTGATATGATCTTCACTGTTTTGAATTTGTTGAGATTTGTTGTGTGGCCTAACACATGGTCTATTCTGGAGAATGTCCTGTGGATTGATGAGATAAATGTATTCTGCAGCAGTTGGTTTCAATGTTTTATAAATGTCTGTTAGGTCCACTTGGTCTACAGCAAAATTTAACTCCAATGTTTCTTTGTTGATTTTCTGCCTTGATTATATACCCATTGCCAAAAGAGGGGTGTTGAAGTCCCTTACTATTGTTGTATCACAGTCTGTCTCTCCCTTTAGATATTTTAATACTTGTTTTATATATCTGGGTGATCCACTGTTGAATGCATATGTGTTTATTATGGGTATATCCTCCTGCTGAATTGATACCTTTATCATTATGTAATGACCATCCTTGTTTCTTCTTACAGTTTTTGATTTAAAGTCTATTATATCTGATACAAATATATGATATACACTTTAGTTACTGCTGCTCTTTTTTGTTTGTTTGTTTCCATGGAATATCTTTTTCCAACCCTTCACTTTCATTCTATCTGGGCTTTTATAGGTGAAGTAAATTTCTTGTAAGCAATATATACTTAAGTCTTGTTGTTAAATCTATTCAGCCACTCTCTGTCTTTTAATTGGAGAATTTAGTGCTTTTACTTTCAGTGTTATTATTAAGGACTTACTGCTGCTATTTTGTTACTTGTTTTCTAGTTGTTTTGTAACTCCTGTCTTCCTTTGTGGTTAAGTGATTTTCTCTAGTATTATGTTTTAATTTGTTGCTTTTTATTTATTTATTTTTATTTATTTATTTATTTATTTATTGAGATGGAGTCTCACTGTATTGCCCAGGCTGGAGTGCAGTGGCAGGATCTCGGCTCACTGCAAGCTCCACCTCCCGGGTTCATGCCATTCTCCTGCCTCAGCCTCCTGAGTAGCTGGGACTACGGGTGCCTGCCACCATGCCTGGCTAATTTTTTTGTATTTTTAGTAGAGACGGGGTTTCACCATGTTAGCCAGGATGGCCTCAATCTCCTGACCTCATGGTCCGCCCGCCTCAGCCTCCCAAAGTGCTGGGATTACAGGTGTGAGCCACCGCGCCTGGCCTGCTTTTTATTTTTAATGTGTCTAGTATACATTTTTGTTTTGTGATTACAATGAAGCTTACAAAAAATTCTATAGTTATAACAAGTTATTTAAAACTAATACCAGAATGGGGGTTGAAGTTGGCAGATAGGAAGTGAGACTAGCTTGCAGCTCCCACTTGGATGGACAGAGCAGCACGTGGAGAATCACCTTGTGAACTTTTGCTCCAAGAGCTACCACATAAACATACCAAGAAAGCCAAGAGAATCCACAAGCCCATTGAAGGAACTGAATCAGTGCCGCAGACTCCCTGAGATGCCAAAAAACTGTGAGCACGCTTGCTTTCTCAACAGGGAGGCTTGTGTTCTGGGGAAAGTTCTCAGCCCCTGGTCACTGGCTGCCTTGAAATAGACTTGGTGCTATTGGGGGGCACGATGGGAGTGAGACTGACCTTTAGGACTGCAGGCTGCATGGGAGCAGGGTGCAGGGTGAGGCCTGTGACTGCTGAGAGAATGCTGAGAGAATTTGCCATTACCAAGCCAGCACTAGAAGAACTGCTAAATGTAGCTCTAAATCTTAAAACAAAACCTCAAAATACACCAAAATATAACCTCTTAAAGCATAAATTTCACAGGACTTATAAAACAATAGCACAATTTAAAAAAACCTAACAAGGTATTAAGGTAACTAATAGCACAATGAATAGAATAGTACCTCACATCTCAATACTAACATTGAATGTGAATGGCCAACATGCTCCACTTAAAAGATACAGAATGGCAGAATTGATCAAAATCCACCACTCAAGTTTCTGCTGTCTTTAGGAGACTCACCTGACACATAAAAACTCACATAAGGTAAAGGGGTGGAAAAAGATATTCCATGCAAATGGGCACCAAATGCAATCAAGAGCAACTATTCTTAGACAAAACAAACCTTAAAGCAACAGCAGTTAAAAGAGACAAAGAGGGACATTATATAATGATAAAAGGACTAGTTCAACAGGAAAATATCACAACTCTAAATATATATACACATAATGCTGGCACTCCTAAATTTACAAAAGAATTACTACTGGACTTAAGAAGTGAGATAGACAGCAACACAATAATAGTGCAGGACTTTGATACTCCACTGACAGCACTAGATACGTCATCAAGACAGAAAATCAACAAACAATGGAGTTAATCTATACCCTACGACAAGTGGACTTAACAGATATTTACAAACCATTCTACTCAACAATTAAAGAATATACATTCTTTTCATCACCACATGGAACATTCTCCAAGATAGACCATATTATAGGCCACAAAACAAGTCTCATTAAATTTAAGAAAATGAAAATTATTTCAAGTACTCTCTGAGACTACAGTGGAATAAAATTGGAAATCAACTCCACAAGAAACCTTCAAAACCATGCAAAAACATGGAAATTAAATAACCTGCACCTGAATTTGGGTCAACAATGAAATCAAGATGGAAATTTAAAAATTCTTTGAACTGAACAATAATAGTAACACAACCTATCAAAACCTCTGGGATACCGCAAAAGTGATGCTAAGAGGAAAGTTCATAGCATTAAATGCCTACATCAAAAAGTCTGAAGGAGCACACATAGACATCTAAGGTCACACCTCATGGAAATGGAGAAACAAGAACAACTCAAACCCAAACCCAGGAGAAGAAAAGAGATAACAAAGATCAGAGCAGAACTAAATGAAATTGAAACAACAGCAACAACAAAAATATAAAAGATAAATGAAACAAGAAGCTGGTTCTTTGGAAAGATAAATAAAATTGACAGTCCATTAGCAAGATTAACTAAGAAAAGAAGAAAGAAGATCTAAATAAGCTCAGTAGAAACAAAATGGGATACATTATAACTGATAGCACAGAAATACAAAGGATTATTCAAGGCTACTATGAACACCTTTACGTGCATAAACTAGAAAACCTTGAGGAGACAGATAAATTCCTGGAAATGTACAACCCTCCTAGATTAAACCAGGAAGATATAGAATCTCTGAGCAGACCAACAACAAGCAGCAAGATTGAAATGGTAATTTTAAAACTTGCCAACACAAAAAAAAGTCCAGGACCAGATGGATTCACATCAGAATTCTAGCAGACATTCAAAGAATTGGTACTAATCCTATTGACACCATTCCAAAAGACAGAGAAAGAGGGACCCCTCCCTAAATCATTCTATGAAGTCAGTATCACCCTAATACTAAAAAAAGGAAAGGACATAACAAGGAAAGGAAACAACCAATATCCCTGATGAACATAGATGCAAAAATCCTCAACAAAATACTAGCGAACCAAATCCAACAGCATACCAAAAAGATAATCCACCATGACCAGGTGGGTTTCATACCAGGGATGCAGGGATGGTTTAACATACATAAGTCAATAAATGTGATACACCACATAAGCAGAATAAAAAACAAAAATCACATGATCATCTCAATAGATGCAAAAACAAAGCATTTGATAAAATCCAGCATCCCTGTAGGATTAAAATGCTCAGCAAAATTGGCATAGATGGGACATAACTTAATGTAATTAAAGCCATCTATGACAAACCCACAGTCAACATTATACTAAACAGGGAAAATCTGAAAGCATTCCCCCTGATAATTGGAACAAGACAAGGATAGCACTTTCACCAATTTTCTTCAACATAATACTGGAAGTCCTAGCCAGAGCAATCAGACAAGAGGAAGAAATAAAGGTCATCCAGATTGGTAAAGAATAAGTCAAACTGTTGCTGTTTGCCGATGATATATTTGTATACCTAGAAAACACTAAAGACTCATTCAAAAAGCTCCTAGAACTGGTAAGTGAATTCAGCAAAGTTTCAGGATACAAAATTAATGTACACAAATCAGTAGCTCTGCTATACACCAACAGCGACCAAGCTGAGAAACAAATCAAGAACTCAACTCCTTTCACCACAGCTGCAAAAAAATAAAATAAAATAAAGTACTTAGAAATACGCCTAACCAAGGACATGAAAGACCTCTGCAAGGAAAATTGCAAAACACTTCTGAAAGAAATAATAGACGACACAAACAAATGGAAACACATCTCATGCTCATAGATGGGTAGAATTAATATTGTGAAAATGACCACACTGACAAAAGCAACATAAAAATTCAACACAATTCCCATCAAAATACTGCCACCATACTTCACAGAGCTAGAAAAAACCATCCTAAAATTCATATGGACCCAAAAAAGTGCCCGCATAGCCAAAGTAAGACTAAGCAAAAGGAACAAACCTGGAGGCATCACATTACCTGACTCCAAACTATACTATAAGGCCACATTCACCAAAACAGCATGGTACTGGTATAAAGGCACATAGACCAATGGAACAGAATAGAGAACCCAGAAATAAAGCCAAATACTTACAGCCAACTGATCTTCGACAAAGCAAACAAAACCATAAAGTGGAACAAGGACACCCTTTTCAACAAATGGTGCTGGGATAATTGGCAAGCCACATGTAGAAGAATGAAACTGGATCCTCATCTCTCACCTTATAAAAAAATCAACTCAAGATGGATCAAAGACTTAAATCTAAGACCTGAAACCATAAAGATTCTAGAAGATGACATTGGAAAAACCCTTTTACACATTGGCTTAGGCAAAGACTTTATGACCAACAACCCAAAAGCAAATGCAACAAAAACAAAAATAAATAGATGGGACTTAATTAAACTGAAAAGCTTCTGCACAGCAAAAGAAATAATCAGCAGAGTTAACAGACACCCCACAGAATGGGAAAAAACTCTTCACAATCTACACATCTGACAAAGGGCTATATCCAGAATCTACAAAGAACTCAAACAAATCAGCAAGAAAAAAACAAATACTCCCATCAGAAAATGGGCTAAGGCATGAATACACAATTCTCAAAAGAAGATATGCAAGTGGCCAACAAGCATATGGAAAAATGTTCAACATCACTAATTATCAGGGAAATGCAAATCAAAACCACAATGCAATACCACCTCACTGCTGTAAGAATGGCCACAATCAAAAAAAATAAAAGATGTTGGCATGAATGCAGTGAAAAGGGAACACTTTTACACTGTTGGTGGGAATGTAAACTAGTGCAACCACTCTGGAAAACATTGTGGAGATTCCTTAAAGAACTAAAAGTAGATCTACTGTTTGATCCAGCAATCCCACTGCTAGGTATCTACTCAGAGGAAAAGAAGTCATTACACAAGAAAAAAATACTTGCACACAGATATTTATAGCAGCACAATTTGCAATTGCAAAAATATGGAATCAGCCCAAATGTCCATCAATCAACAAGTAGATAAAGAAAATGTGGCATATATATACCATAGAATACTACTCAGCCATAAAAAGGAAAAAATAATGGCATTTGCAGCAACCTGGATGGAATTGGAGACTATTATTCTAAGTGAAGCAATTCAGGAATGGAAAACCAAACATTGTATGTTCTCACTCATATGTGGGAGCTAAGGTATTAGGACACAAAAACATAAGAATGAAACATTGGACTTTGGGGACTTGGGGGAAAGGGTGACAGGTGGTGATAGATAAAAAACTACACATTGGGTACAGTGTACACTGTTCAGGTGATGGGTACACTAAAAACTCAGAAATCACCACTAAAGATCTTATTCATGTAACCAAACACCACCTATTCCCCCCAAAACCTATTGAAATATAAAAATTTAAAAAATTTAAAAATAAATTTAAAAAATAAAAATAAAATAAGTAAATAAATAAAACGTCTGAGATAAACTATTATCATCCTAGCATGTAGACATCTGGTTGTCTAACTTGATCCAGGACAGAATTTGGAAATCTGAAAAAACAAATGACATGAACCTTGAAAATTATGCTAAGTAAAAGAAGCCATTCACAAAGTACCACATATTACACAATTTCATTCACAGAAAATGTTCCAAATAGGCAAATCTGTAGAGATAGAAAGTAGATTAGTGATTGTGTAGGACTGGGGGATTTGGGTAACATACGGTGATGGCTACAAGGTATGGGTTACTTTTGGGAGTAATGAAAATGTTCTAAACTTGATTGTGTGACAGATGCACAAGTCTGTGAATATACTAAAACCATTGTATACTTTAAGTGAGTGAATTGTAGGGTATGTGAATTTAATCTCAATAAAGACTTTTTTTTTAAAGTGAAAAAAAAAACTAATACTCTATTAGTTCATTCTACCCAAGACTGGGTAATTTATAAAGAAAAGAGGTTTAATTGACTCACAGTTCTGCAGCTCTGGGGAGGCCTCAGGAAACACAATCATGGAGAAAGACACCTCTTCACAGGGTGGCAGGAGAGAGAATGAGTGCTAGCAGGGGAAATGCCAGACACTTATAAAACCATCAAATCTTGTGAGACTCAGTCATTATCATGAGAACAGCATGGGAGAAACTGCCCCCATGACTCAATTACCTCCAACCGGGTCCCACCCTTGACATGTGAGTATTATGGGGATTACAATTCAAGGTGAGATTTCGGTAGGGAGAAAGAAGCAAAGTACATGAAATACCAACTTACCTTTTATAAAGAAAAAAAACGATACACATTAACTTTCTTCCTTCTTGCCCCACATTTTGAATTTGTGATGTCACAATTTGCCCTTTCATATTGCCTATTTCTCAACAACATGTAGTAGATACCTTTTTTTTTTTTTGAGGCAGAGTCTCACTCTGTTGCCCAGGTTGGAGTGCAGTGGTGTGATCTCGGCTCACTGCAACCTCCACCTCCTGGGTTCAAGTGATTCTCCTGCTTCACCCTCCTGAGTAGCTGAGATTAGAGCCACCTGCTACCATGCCTGGCTAATTTTTGTATTTTTAGTAGAGACAAGTTTCACCATGTTGGCCAGGCTAGTCTTGAACTCCTGACCTCAGGGGATCTACCCACCTTGGCCTCCCAAAGTGCTGGGATTACAGGCATGAGCCACCATACCCGGCCTAGTAATTATTGCTTTTAATAGTTTTGTCTTTTAGTCTACTTAGTAAAGATATAAATGGTTTATACATCACAATTACAATATTAGTATAACAGTTACATTAGCATCCTTTCCTTTCAGTTTGAAGAACTTCCTTTAGCATTTCTTACAGGACAGTTCTGGTAATGATACATTTCCTCAGCTTTTGTTTGGGAAAGTATTTCTCTCCTCTTCATTTCTAAAGGACAGCATTCCTGGGTATAATATTCTTAGTTTGCAGCCTTTTTTCTTCAGCATTCTGAATATATCATTCCACCCCTTTCTGGCCTGTAAGTTTTCTGCTGAGAAGTGTGCTTCCATGCATACTGGATCTCCCTTACCTGTTACTTGCTTCTTTTCTCTCACTACTTTCAGGATCTTCTCTTTGTCTTTGACCTTTGAGTGTTTGATTATAACAAGTCTTAGGATATTCTTATTTGGGTTGAATCTCACTGATGACCTTTGACCTTACTGTACCTGAGTAGTTATATCATTCTCCAGGTTTGGAAAGTTTTCTGCTATTTCTTTGAATAACCTTTCTACACCTTTGTCTTTCTCAGTTTCCTCCTTAGCTTCAACAACCTGAATGCTTGCTCTTTTGATATTGTCCCATGGGACCTGTCAGCTTTCTTCATTTTTTCAAACTTTTTGCTCCTCTGATGTGTACTTTCAAATAGTTGATCTTTGAGCTTGATTCTTTCTTCAGTTTCATCAATTCTGTTATTGATGATCTCTATTGCATTTTTCATTTTATTCACTGTGTTTTTCAGCTCCAGGATTTCTGTTTGTTTTTTAAAATTATTTCAATCTCTGATAATTTTCTGAATTGGCTCTATGTGCTTTCTTAAAGTTCACTGAGCTTCTTTTAAATAGCTGGGGTTTTTTTGTTGTTGTTGTTTGTTTGTATTTTAGATGAAGTCTCACTCTGTCGCCCAAGCTGGAGTGCAGTGGTGCAATCTCGGCTCACTGCAACCTCTGCCTCCCGGGTTCAAGCAATTCTCCTGCCTCAGCCTCCCAAGCAGCTGGGACTACAGGCACACACCACCATGCCCAGCTAATTTTTGTATTGTTAGTAGAGACAGGGTTTCACTATGTTGACCAGGCTGGTCTCAAATTCCTGACCTCGTGATCCGCCCGCCTCGGCCTCCCAAAGTGCTGGGATTACTGACGTGAGCCACTGCACCTGGCCTAAATAGCTGTTTTAAATTCTTTGGCTGAGAGATTACACATCTCCATCACTTTAGGGTCAGTCTCTGGCACCTTATTTTGTATGTTAGTAAGGTCATATTTCCCTGAATGTTCTTGATGCTTGTGCATGTGTGACAATGTCTTTGGATTGAGGGGTTAGGTATTTATTTTAGTCTTTACAGCCTGGCTTTGTTTGTGCCTGTCCTTCAGAAGTTCTTCCAGGGATTCTAAGAATGAACTGTTGAATTTCCTCAGACTATGACCACTGCAGCCATCTCAGCAACAGAGGATACTCTAAACTCAGGCTTACCACAAGTCTCACAAGGACTTCTAGGTTGATGTGGCTTTCCAGGTCCGATAAACCTGGGTAAGAGCCAGCATTCCTGGAATGCTGGCCAGGAACCTGAGTCCACAAGACTGTCCTGGTGGCCCAGATGGGCATGCTTCCCAGCAGGCCTCTGCATGGGTAGGATGGGTCCCCAAAAATAGTGAGATGGGCTGAAGTTGAGACTGCCCCCCGCTCAGGATCTGCTGTGGGACAGACCGGCCTGTCTCATTGGCTCAGGTGGGCATGCATCACCCAGCAGGTCCCTGCACAACCAGGGTTATTCCTTGACTACAACAGGAGGGACCAGAGCTGAGACTTGCTCCCCTCAGGATCTACAGTGGAACAGAGGCTATCACATTGGCTCATAGAGGCAGGCATCTCCCAGCAGGTCCCTGCATAGACAGGATAGTTTCTCAACTGCAGCAGGAGGGGATAGAGATGAGACCAGGCCCCCTGAAGATCTGTTGTATGGCAAAAGCTGGAGAGCCCACCGTCACTGGCTTAGAGGAGTATGTGTGTCCTGGCAAGTCCCTGCACAGACAAGATGGTTCCTTGATTGCAGCAGGAGTTGCTGGGGCTAGGACTGGGCCCCCTTGGGATGTGCTGTGAGACAGAAGCTGGAGAGCCTGTCTCATTGGCCCAGACAAGTATAGGTTTCCCAGCAGATCTAAGCACAGAGAGGATCATTCTCTGATTGCAGCAGGAGGGCCAGAACTGAAGCTGGATCCCCTTGGGATCTGTGGTGAGATGGAAGTTGGCAGGCCCAATAAGGAGGCCCAGACTCCTGAGTTGTGAGATATGGGCAAGTCTCCCTTCAGATCCTTGTGTGAGCAGCTCTGAGCTGGGATCTTAGCTAAGGAGAGCTGTAGCTGAGTTACAGGGCAACTTTCAGGTTCACTGCCATGACCAATGTCAGTGGGCAGATGAGCTTTTCCACCAAGGCAGTAGTGTACGCAGTTCCTCGTGGCCCCCTTGGCAGATGGTTTCTGTTACAAGCTCAAAGCCAAACGGAGCTGTAGCCAGGATCTCGGAGGACTGTCATTTCGGAGCTTGAACCCAAGAGCAAGTTTGATGAATCAGTCACCTGGGTGTTAATCTGTACTCTCAAAATGACCCTCCAAGGTCTTGGACTCCACTGAAGTTTCACAAACACCTACCTGAATCCTGAGGCTCCCACAGACAGATTTCTGACTGTTGATGCATATAGAATTGTTGTTGTTTTTGTTGTGCGGGTATATGAGCAGACTACCTTCTGTTCTGCCATCTTGGTAATGTCGCTCTGTTTTTGTCTTTATTATTTCATTTCTTCTGCATTGATCAGGTTTAATTTGTTTCTTTTTCTAATTTTGTGGTATGGCTACATATATGGTTTTTTAGCCTTTCTTCCTAATATGTGAATTTAAGGATTTAAATTTCCCTCTAAGCATGGCTTAAGCTGTAACATGCAAACTTTACATATGTTCGATTTTCATTTTATCATTCTCTTCAAAGTATTTTCTAATTTCTATGAGTTATTTAGAAGCGTATTGTTTGATTTCCAAACATTTGAGGATTATCTCATCATGTTTTTGTTATGGATTTCAAGCCTATTCTACTGTGGCCAAGAATATAGTTTATTAGTTCAGTCTTCCAAAATTTGTTGAAGCTCGCTTGATGACCTAACATATGGTGAATTTTGGTAAATTTTCCATGTGCACTTAAATGAAAGTTTATTCTTCAATCGTTGCATACTGTTTTATACTTGTAAAGTAAATCAAAATTTTTTATTTGAGACAGAGTCTTGCTATGTTGCCCGGGCTGTTCTCAGGCTCCTAAGCTCAAGTGATCCTCCCACCTCAGCCTCTGAAGTAGCTGGACTACAGGCATGCATCGCTGTGCCCAGCTTAGAAAAAAATTATTAATTGAGATTTTTCAGGCCCCCCATCTTTTCTAATTTTCCCCACTTTTTCTATCAGTTATGGAAAGAGGTTATTGAAGTCACCCACTCTTCAGAACAATTGGCTTTGAATGTTTAATTTTAAAACAAATAAAATAAAATCACCCACTATGATTATATATCAAAACACTTTTTCTGTTAGTTCTCTTAATTATTGCTTTATCTATTTTGAGACTGTGATATTCTGTGCACTAAAATTTAAATTTGTTTTAATGTTTCTGATGAGTTGACCTTGGTATCATTATGAAATATCTCTATCTGTAGGAATGCTTCTTGTTTAAAATATAATTTGTGGACTATAACTTTACGTAGTTTCTTTTTGTTAGGTTTGCATGGTACATATTTTCCCTGTCATTTTATGTTACATATCTTCAGCTTCAAAGTATGGCTCTTATAATTTCATTGTTTGGAGATTATATTAATTCTAATTTTAGAAATTTTTGTTTTTAATTACTTCATTTCACTTAATTACTGATATATTTGCTTTTATACGTTATTATTATTATTATTTGTTTTTTCATGTTCTCAACTCTTCTATATTCCTTTTTCTCTACTTTTTAAAATCTTCTTTGCTAGTTATTGTAGTGAGCTAAATAGTGTTCCCCCAAAATTCATGTCCATCCAGAACCTCAGAATGTTACCTTATTTGGAAATACAGTTTTTATAGATGCAATTAAATTAGAGCTTAGAGTGGGCTATAAGTCAAATGATGATAATGCCCTTATAAGAGACAGAAAAGGACACACAGACTGCACAGACACATAGGTAAGGCCATGTGAAGGCAAAGGCAGGGATTGGAGTGATGCAGCCACAAGCCAAGGAATGCCAGAAGCCACCAGAAGCTGGAAAAGGCAAGGAAGCACCCTCTCCAGAACCTTTGATGGGAGCGTGGCCCTGCTCCCAAAATGCCCTGATTTTGGTCTTCTGGCCTCCTGAGCCATAAGAGAGTAAATTTCTGTTGTTTTAAGCCAGCCAGTTTGTGGTAATCTGTTATAGTGTCCCTACAAAACTAATTAAGTTATATATTCTTTTACTATTCCTTCAGTGTTTTAGATGTTACAATACACAACCATGACTTATTAAAATCTTATTTAAGTTACTACTCTTAACGCCTCTTGGACAATATAGGATGTTACAACATTTTAAGTCCATTTACTCTCTATCTTGCCTTTTCTATTATTATTATCATATTTTGAAAAACCCAACATATAATTTAAAGATGAGACACGTTATTATTATTATTATTAATTATTATTATTGCTTTACATAGTCAAAATTAATGCAGACTTACATGGATATTTACTTTTTTTGTTGCTCTTTATTCCTTTCTGCATTTACACCTTCTTTCATCTGACTCATCTTTCTTTTGCCTTAAAAACTCCCCCTCTTTATTTTCTTTAGTAAGGATATGCTGCTAACAAATTATCTGTTTTTGCTTTTTGGAAGTGTCTTTATTTTATGTTTGTGTTTGAAGGATACTTTTGTTGGGTATAGAATTGTAGATTGTCAGCTATTTTCTTTCAGTCCTTTCAAAGTGTCATTCTGTTGTCCTTTGGCTTCCATTTTTCTGTTGAAAGTTAGTGATAGGTCTTATTTATGTTATTTTGAAATGAATATGTCCTTTTTATCTGGCTACATATAATATTTCCTTTTGTCCTTTGGTTTTCAGTTGTTTGTCTGTGAGTGTAGGCCTAGTTTCCTTTTTCGTAAGTGAGGGATCTTTTTTTTTAATAGACTACTTTTAAGAACAGTTTTAGGTTAACAGCAAAATTAAACAGAAGGTACAGAGAGTTCCCATGATAAATAAACCATAGTATGTTTATCAGTTCATATCATTCCCTTTTTATTTATTCTAATTGGAATTTGTAACTCATGCAAGTTGCGCTTGTCTCATTTCATTTGTCTCCAAAAATTATTGGTCAATATCTCTTTATGTATTACTCCTACCTCTTTTCTCTTTCTCCTGTCTTTCTGGGTTTCCGATTATGCATATGTTAGAGGCCATTTCTCCATGTCCCATATTCTCTTTTAGATTTTATACATTTTTCACTATTTGTCTCGCTGTGCATCAGTCTGGATATTTTCTTCTGACCTGCATTCTGGTTTACTAATTCTTGCTTCAGCTGTGCCCACTGTGCTGTTAAACTCATCTACTAAGTTATTTATTTACATTATAGAATGACTGTTTGATTCTTTTTATCATATCTAATTCTCCATTGAAATTATCCATCAGGTCATTTATTAATCACATTTAAACTTATAAATAACAGTTAACCTAAAGTCTATGTCTGGTAACTTTACTATGTGGCTTTTTCATGAATTTGTATCTATCATCTGTGTTTCTCTTGATTCTCACTCAATTTTATCTTTTTGCATGTTTGGTTGTCTTTGATTGAGTGACAGATACTATATTTGAAAATGTAATATTTTGAGGTTGTACAAGATGTTCTCTTCTTTCAGAGAAATTTGCTTTTCCTCCTGTCAGGCAGTTAGAGTAGAAGCAGATTATCATAGATCAGTCTGGGAATGATATGATTCCAAATTGGATGTGAGTGTTTATGAAGCTGATCTAGCCCTGCAAGGGTCAAAGCTGAAAGGGTGGTGTGTTTATCAAGGCCTCTTTTCTCAACAATGAGAGCTCCAATTTGTCCTCTTGCTATCTCACCTGAACTTTTGTGCTTATCTCTTGGTATCAGCCACACTCCTTTTACAGCAACCAGTCATAAAACCTCAAGAGTAATCTTTCAAAATACCTAATTCTCCCTCCTCAGAATTTATCAGCTACTCTCCAATTCCTAAATCAGTGGTTTCCAAAGTGTTTTCTGTGGAAATTCTTCTAGAACTTCCAGTAGGGATGTGGAAGTGGTCAAGCTGCCAGGGGGCTTGTGAACTCCCCCTTCACACACACATACACACACACACACACACACACACACAGAGAGACAGAGAGAGAGACTCCCACAGGGCAGTTTCTCATTGATCCGATTTCTATATTGCACTTCTCAGATTTTTATTTGAAGAACGGGGCTTGGAGCTAAAATGATTTGATAGCACTTGACTTAGATAATAGCATCTAAATTACGTACATGAGGCCGGGTACAGTGGTTCACACCTGTAATCCTAACACTTTGGAAGGCCAAGACAGGTAGACTGCTTGAGCTCAGGAGTTCAAGACCAGCCTGAGCAACATGGCAAAAACCCATCTCCACCAACAAACAAAATTAGCCAGGTGTGGTGGCGTATACCTGTAGTCCCAGCTATTCAGGAAGCTGAGGCAAGAGGATTGCTTGAGCCCAGAAGGTTGAGGCTACAGTGAGCCGAGATCATGCCACTGCATTCCAGCCCAGGAGACAAAGTGAGACCCTGTCTCAAAAAAAACATAAAAATTACAATAAATTATGAACATGGTATACAGAACTACTTATGATCTCACCTCAGTCTTATTTCTCGCCTCTCATCCCTCACCCCATCCTATGGCCACCCACCATTCTAACCATACTGAATTTTCTTGTCATTCTCTATGCATGGTCCAATTCCCCCATATTTCAGACATTCTATTTCCTGTCTGGAATATTTCTTGACCCAAGTTTGCTTAGCAAACGTCTACTGATCCTTCTCTGTTCAGTTCAAGTTACCTGCTTTGAGAAGCGATCCCTGAGTCCCAGACAAGACTTAGCACTCCTTATTCACTCTCCTGAATTTTGTTTTCACATCTATCCCCTGATTGTTGTTGATTTGCACATCCATCTCTGACTAGACAGTGAGCTCTTTGAGGCAAGGACTGCAGCTTTCATCTTTGTGCTGAACCCTGGGCAGTTTTTGTTGAACAAAGGACCATGCATACTTGGACAATCATAATTTCACATATTCTCTTTTATTCAAATGAATGCATAAATTGGCCCATATTTTTCTATATTTGAGGTCCAAATTGCATCTCCCAGACTATCTCTTAGCACCAATAAATGACATAAAGATCTTTTGTTATACTAAAAACCGTGAGTTTTCTGTTTAGAAAATACTGTCACCTTGATTATATACGTTTCACATATATAATCTGGCTGAGGACCCAGTAAGTACTCAGTATAGACTTGTTGACTAATTTCTACTGAGTGGGTTTTGTCCCTAGCCAAGCTCAAAAGGACTCAGTGTCCCTATAAAATATTCTTCATTTCATCTGGCTAGGCTTTGATGTGACAGGCTTCCCCCACTCTGAAAGCCATGAGAGACTATTGTGAGGTCCTCAAAAATTGACAACTCAAAGGTCAGACCTATAAAACTTCAAAATCTCTTGTAAATATGAGTCAGCACCTGAGTAATAAGCTTGTTTCTATTATAATTAATAATATTGCTGGGGTGGGCCATGTTCTGCACAGTAAGTACTCCTTGAGAAATCTAATTTTTGTACCTAGAACACTATTTTCAAAAGCTGTGGAGATTTTAGTTATGGGAGAATTCAATAACTTTAGTTATTAAAAATTTTTAATGAATCTAAAAACAAAACTCTGATGCTTGTTTCTTATGTCTGGATTTTTCCATATTTCCATATTTGGAGTTTGCTCCAAATATGGAAGGGCCTCCTATATTCTTTTACCATCCACCTCACCTCCACTGGCGCAAGGTGACCTCACTCCTGCCCTGGAGAGCTCAGGTGCAGAGACTTGCACTCTGCTGAGGGCGTCTGGAATGCCCTGTTGTTCATTCCTGTCGCTCAAAGTTCTGACCCCAGAGAAGATGCCAGGGCCCTGGGACGGGTCACTCTCTAAGCTGTTGTCAGTCATAAACACCCTAGGTGTAGGCAGGTTTTAACATCACCATATCAGAATAACTGAGGCTATGGACGCTTCTAGAAAACTTGAAAGGCAATCATGGATGCCAGGGCACTGAAACTTCCTCCACACATCTGCCACTTGCCCACCTTGCCCCTGGCTTTCTAATGCCACATCAGGATCTTACCTCCAGGTTGGCAGAGGGTGATGCCATCATGGTGGAAACTCAGCAACACCTGAGATGCCTGGAGCTATGCTTCTCAGACGGAGGCACGGACCCCCTGAAAGGGAGGTCCAGGGTGAGGAGGGATGTGGGAGTGATACAGGAGGGAGGCAGGAAAGTGCTGGGTAGAGAAAGGCAGGGTCCCTGGCAAAGGCTCTACCCTCAGGCCTGTGCCCACTGACCTAGGTGAGGACAGGTATTTCTGTTTCTGTGGCTAAATGTGGCATTTCCAAGACCACCCTGGCCTGCCACACACCCCATCCTGTGCCTTTAAACATCCTGAGACCCTAGTGGGCACGGACACGAGCAGCTGGACATCGAGAGGAACTCAACAGCAGAAGAACACACGGGCAGACACCAGCAGACGCCGGCAGGCCATCTATGACGGGACGACACGGAGTTCAGCAGAGGCCAGTCGGAGGAGGGCCCGGCCACTGGGTGGCCTGACTCCAGGGAAAGGCCACCTTCCCACTCCATCCTCCTTCTGGCCTCTCCATCCACCTCACTGAGAGCTGCCACCACTTAATAAAAAGCCTTGCACCCATCCCCCAAGCCCACGCGTGATCTAATTTTTCTGGCACACTAAGGCAAGAACCCCAGGATACAGAAAGCCCTCTGTCCTTGTGATAAGCCCCACAGCCTGCCTGCCTACATGCTCCCGCTAGAGGTTTGAGCAGCGGGGCACTGACAAAGTGAGCTGCAGCCCCCATCTCACACCCTGAGAGGCGGATGAGGGAATTGTTCCCATTTCAGGAGCAAGAGAGGGGTTTTGAAACATCAAATAAATTTTTTACTCTGGTCAATAAATCAAAATAATCTTTTAAAATTAAAACAAGCACAGAAGTTTTATAAAGGAGACAAGATTTAATGGATTGTTAAAGTATGACAATTTATCACACCTTCTGGCTCACCAAGGGCCATTTCAGGCAGCGTCCAGACCCACAGGACATACATTCACTTTTCTCTGTACTCAAGGGCTCTGGTATAGAATATTTTTGAGGCACTGGCCTCCAGCCAGCCAACCCCAGAGGACTGTGAGTCTCCCAGCTCCCAGCAGAAGGAAAGGAGGTAGCTTCTCAGAGCCATGGCCCTGACCATCCGCATCTGCAAATTTCACTGAGGGATTTGAGGCAGGAACTTGGCACTGGCTCCATGGGAGAGACTCCAGGGCCAGCTGCAAGTTCTCCAGCACTTCACCACATCTAACCGCTGCAGGGTAACGCTCAATGTGAGAGCACTCAGACAATGTAAGGGAAGTTAAGCTCGAGCAGACACCACCTGGAGCCCAAGGATGCCTGCTGCAATGCCTGGCCAACTTTCACCATGCCTTTGTATCTGTCAGGATAGGCTAGGTTAAACTGTGGAACAAGCAACCCCCAAACCATGTTACAACAAAAAGTTTCATGTTCATGCTGTAAGTAGCTCATCATGGGATGGCTGGGGAGTCTACTCAATGTCCCCCACCTCCAGGATGCAGGCAAATACAGCACCCACCTCCTCAAATATTGCTGGGTTACCATAGTAGAGGGAAAGAAAAAACATCAGCCAGAACTTGTCACATGGTCCAACCCAGCCAGAAGAAACCAGGAAGTGCCATCCAGCCATGGTCTTCAAGAGAAACCAGCTGGAAATATTTAGTGGGCAGCAATGATTACCACAGTCTTTTTGAAAACCCCAAGCCTGAACTTTTAGGCTGTGTGCCTGGTCCCAGGGGAAAAGCTCAGGCCTAAGGGAGCAGCTGGAAAAATAGAGGTCCACCTGTTCTGCTGTACCTGCTGGAGTATAGGAAGCACTCATAGGGGTGCATGGGTCCATAGTCCCTACATCTACACAGTCTATGTGCAGTATGAACCACACACTTCCTGCCTCCCTGACACCTTGAGTTGACATGTGGTCTCATGTTCTCTAGCCCTTCCAGGCTCCTTCTGGGTGTGTTGAAAATGCTTTATGATTTTTCTTCTAGGAATACTCAGCAGGAAGGTGGAGATGGTAGGGGCTGCAGAAGTATTAGAGCAGAGGAGGGGATGATTCTTTGGACCACAGTTGATCACACCACACAGAGCAATCAATTAAGACTTGTACTAAATCATTACTTTATGTTGCCTAAACCTGCCCAGTATTAGGCACTGCAGGAGAGACAAGAGAAATAAGATATAGTCCCTGCTCTCAGGGAACTTATAATCCAAGAGGTGAGTTAGGAACTACTACCTTGTATTGTAATTTTTTTCTCAGTGCCATATGAATGGCACCGAGAATAAAAATTATTAGAGTTGGGACAATGCAGAGCTTGCTGCAGCCGTGATTGGCATGGAGAGACTTAACTGGAAGAATTAGGGCATATGCTGGTCTGGAAAAGGTGTGAGAACTTCGGGTGGGCAAGAGGAGAGGGGAAAAGCATGAGGAAAGGCACAGGAGTGGAAACTCTCATGCCTGCTTTTGACACCTGTGCCCAAAATGGAGGGAAAGGCTTTGGAAGCCTCATATATCAATCCAAGGAGGTTTATCTTCGTTCTTTTTACAAATAGAGGCTGGAAAACCAGCACCAGAGATGCTCTGCAATAGATGCCTGTCTTCAGTGGAGGACAGAGCAAGTCATCATTACCCTAACTTGGCTGTCTGCAGAGCCCCAGCTTCACCCTTACCTCAACCCCTACAAGGAACTTGTTAAAAAGAGACCTTCTTTTAAAATAAGTTTTCTCCACATTACTCAGGACCCATCCCAAAGACATTTTGATTCAGTAGATATGAGATGGGATCCAGAAATCCATATCCTTCACAAGCTTCCCCAGAGACTGATGCAGCTGCTCTGAGAGCCAGGCTTGGAAATTACTACCTAGAGATGACCCTGGCATATCCGACTCAGCCTGTCAAAAGGGAACTTTTTAAATTGCACACTAAAAATGTCTCTTTATTTCTAATGCACTGTATTTCTGTCACCCAGTGGTGTGATCTCCACTCACTGCAACCTCTGCCTCCCGGGTTCAAGCGATTCTCGTACCTCAGCCTCCCCAGTAGTTGGGATTACAGGTGCGTGCCACCACGCCTCGCTAATTTTTTCTATTTTTAGTAGAGACGGGGTTTTGTCATGTTGCTCAGGCTGGTATCAAACTCCTGAGCTCAGGCAATCCACCCATCTTGGCCTCCCAAAGTGTTAGAATTACGGGCGTGAGCCACTGCGCCCGGCCCTAAAATGCTTTATATCTTCCTACATCAATTTTTTTTTGGGCTGTCATCCAGCTCACACCTCTACTACCACCCTCTGGTCTGAAATGCTCTCTGCCTATCAATATTTTGCCAATTCTTCAAGATCCAGCTCAAATTTTATCTATTCTGTAAGGTCTGCCTTCTTTGAAAAAGATTACAGATCTCTCACATATTTTCTTATCAGTGTGTGCTAGGCAGTTGGCTAGTTAGTCTTGGGGAATACACAGATGAGCAAGTCGTGTTCCTGAAAGGCAATGAGCCTCTGAAACTACGTGGGGGCCCGTCCAAGGCGCCCTCCTTCCCCTGCTCTGGTTGGCCTCTTTGAGAACATTTAAATTTTTATTTTTCTCTCCTTGTTTAAAAATACTATCCTTGTCATGGAAAAATAAAAACATGAATTGGAAAAAATTAGAAAAGGCATAAAAACGGCCCGTGGTCTATTAAAGGAATAGACCTTTAATAGAACTACTGAGGCCATGTTGATATATATGCTTCCAAACTTTTCAAAACTGTAATTATACATGTACGCAGTATATGACGCTACATATGTCCTATATTGTTTTAAAATGTTATTTTTAAAACAAAGACAGGATCGTCCTGGACAGGCTTTTTCTCTTAAAACATCATGAACATCTGTTCCTACCAAGACCTTCACCGAAATCATTTTAAATGATGGTATTGCGTCCCATTGCTCATGCCATTAAAAAAATTTACTGTAATAAACCCATTACAGAAAATGCTAAGTGGTTGCCTACCGGGGTTTACCGAACTATATTCCTGTTGTTGGAAGTATTTATTCCATTTCAAACACAGGTGGGCATGAGTTACATCTGTCCTCCCCAAAATAGCCTAAACCTCCAGACCCAGGACCTCGGGCAGCAGAAGTGCCCGTGGGGCGGGGGAAGGGGAGCCGGGCATCCCAGGGCGAGGGGGCCGCCCTGGCCGCGGTCACCCGGGGGACGCCCTGCCCGGAAGCCCGTGCTCGCCCGCGGGCGCGGCCAGGCGGGTCCCATGAGGGGGACCCTTTCAATAACCGAGTCCTCGGGCTGGGCCGCGGGGCCAGCGCAGTGACTCCCCCCGCGCTCGGCAGTCCGGCCGGGGTCGCGGGGTCGCGGGGTCGCGGGGTCGGCCCGGGGTCGCTAGGTCCTCCCGTCGGGCCCCGCGGGCGGGGCTGGGCGGGGCGGGGCGGGGCCGCGGGCAGGCGGGCGCAGCGCCTGCCGTTCGCCTCTCAGGCTGCAGGTGGGGCTGTGCGGCCGCGCTGCCTCCAGGAAGCCTCACGGGCCTTCGTCTGCCGGGCCGCGGCGCCGGCTCCCAGGATGCAGTGTGGACCGGCCGGGCGCTGACGGAGGCGGCGCGACTGCGGGCGGCGCGGCGCAGGGGCAGCCAGCGAGGAGCGGCGGCAGAGGAAAGGCCAGGCAGGCGCCGCCTGCGGAGAGCACCGGGCGGCCGGGCCTGCGTGGTGCCGCGCGCGGCGGCGGCGACGACGACTTCCTCCGGGCCGGGCGGGACAGCGCAGGGCCATGGCCGAGGCGGTCGCGGCTCCGGTAAGGGCGACCCGCGCGCGCAGGGACTCGCGGCCTGGGGGCCCCAGGCGGCCCGGCCCCGGCACACGGCGCCGCAGGCCCTGGGGAGGGGTTCCGGGGTCCGGGCCGGACCACCGGGCCTGGGGCTCCCGCGAATGGGGCGCGGGGTCCGCCGGGGCCTACTGCGCCCGTCGGCCGGGCCCCCACTCCGAGCCGAACCCGAGCGCTGGCGGAACGGTTGTCCCCGCCCCGGGCCGCCCCACGCCAAGTTCTTTGGGCCCTCCGGGGCTTCCTGCCCCCGCCCCAGCCGCTGTCCCCTCCTTCTGGGTGCCCCCCCACCCGCGGCTCCTTTCTCTGCCTGGCGCTCGGCCTGTAGGTCCCTCTCCATCTCCCCCGCAGCGGCCTGGTGGCACCTGGGAGGTGTCCGGCTTCGAATCCGCATACACCGACTCCCACTACGTGCCCAGCTTCCCGGGGTCGGCGCGGAAGGGAATATAGAGCCACGCACTTCCACAAGCCCTGTTGAGGCGTTAGTCTGTCCTCACAGCAAGCCTGTGGGATGGGTACTGGTGTTAATCTCTGTCATACAAAAGAAAAACCCGGGGCCTAGAGAACTTAACTTGCCCAGGCTTACCCAGCTGGAAAGTGTGAAAAGACACACAGTGGCTGTGTGTTCAAGGACCAGGCAGGCAGGTACGCGGGCAATAATCGTGCAAAACAGAAAGGGGTGAGTGCTGGCGCCCAGGTGGAAGCTTGCGGTGGGCTCCGGGGGAAGGAGTGTCAGGGGGCCTCTTGGTACCGCTGTCCACCCCTCCTGGCCTGATGCTCTGCGCCTCTGTGATTTGAGCCGGGCTTTTAGGGAAGGCTAGGATTTCAGGCCCAGCTAGACCGGTGGTGCTTTCAGGGAGGGAGGAGTGCCTGGGCAAAGGCGCAGAGAGACGGGACAGTGCAGGGCGTGTGCAGGCACAGAAAGGAGTCCATGAGCCTGGAGAAGATGGTTTTGGTTTGGAGGCAGTGGGAAAGGAGTCTGCAGAGAGAGACTAAGAAGGGGTTTGCATGCCTGGACTTCATCCTGCGGGTGGGCAGTGGATGAGGGATCCGGCTCCTCTTACCATCAGCTCCTCTCAAGCAAAGAGTTTCAGCTCCCCTGGCAGGAGTCCAAGGACAGCCCCACATATTCCAGCCACTTGTCAGTAAGAAGCTGGGCTGGAGTGAGCAGCGCACAGTCGCCACCTCCCACCACATAGTGTGAAGACCTTACACAGGGTTTCCTGGCCCCATCAGAACTGTAAGAAAACCATGCACCTTGTTGTCCATGAGTAAAAGACTAATATTTTCTTAATAAAGTAGTTTAGCAGAGGTCCCTTTCATGCCACACAAAGCCCATAATAATGCACGTGGAGGATGGGTAGGATTTCAGTGGATAAGGAGCTGGTGACCAGTTGAAAGGAAGCTTCTGGAGTAAACTCTTGGCGTCTGGGATCACGTGACAGGGATTGATCTGAGAAAGGAGAGGTGAGGGAAGGAACAGTGGCCTTAGGTGGAGGGTGGACTCAAGCCCAGAACCACGCTGGCCCACCCAGGTGCTGTAGGACCACCTACTCCTTGAGAGCAAGACTCCCACCCGCATTGGGGTTTTCGCCTAGAAACAGTTCAGCTTGTCCAGAATCTCCCAGCCTTGAAGACCCCTTAGAGTCCTACCTTCTTTGGGTCCTGCTTCCTTCCAAATAGATAGTATCTTAAGCACTGTCCTAGACAAGTTTGTTTCTCCCTCTGCTCAAACTCTCCTTTTGTCTCTATTTTTTGAGCTGTCCATCCGCATTCTAGTTCTCAGTGACTTTCTCTAAGTGAATCCACACTGGTTTCTAGTAGCTACTTCTTCATTTTGGAAATAATCACCAACCTTTTGTTGAGGAATTATTTTGCAGAATGTTGTAAGGAGGCGTTGATCCTCAGGTCCCGATACCAGGAGCTCCTCTGTGCCCTGTAGGTCCCACATTCAGATGTGGGTGGCTCAAACAGTCCAGCTCCCTACCCACCGCAAAATGTGCCCATTCTTCCTTGTCCCAGCTGCCGGTCACTGATACGCCATGTGAACATTTCCAATGACAGGGAAGGCCCCCGTCTCTAATTAAGATGGTTGCTGTCCATATACAAGTCTAACTGTGGCATATATGTACTTTCCTCACCAGACTGCAGGGTATGTCACTGCTCCTGGTACAGCTACAAAAATGTCGGAGGCCGTCATTTTTACCTTGAGGGGGTGGGAATTGGGAAAGAGAAAGAATCTTGTAGGGCTCAGGCAGTGTCAAAAAGCCTAACTCTGGACTGATGGAGATTTGCAGTCATGGGGATTTTAGCTTGTGGGGGAGGGGCAGATGGGAAGGTGACAAAATGAGACTGTCCTGGGGGAAGAGGAACTGGCCATTAGATTTTTATGTTTGTTAAAAGGGGACATGAGATGCTTTAAAAAACAAAAAAAGAAAAAAGAAATTGAGCAATACTCTTGTTTGTGCCGTTTCAGTGAACCAGCTGTTTTTTTTGCTGGGTCATCATCAGTAGACAGTTCCTGTGTAATCATGAGGGGAGGTGCAGGCTGCGCTCTAGTAAATCTGCAGTTTACCATTTCTCCACTAAAATGCCCAGCAATGCTAAGTCACTGTTTACGTAACAAAATTGCACTGGGTACCTGCCATGTGTCAAGGACAGTGGTATGAAAAGATGCAATACCATGTTCAGGGAGCCCACAGTGTAGGTGTGGGTAGGAAATTATTGTGTAGGGTGATAAGCACCGTGATAAGGGTCTGCATTGTGCTGCAGAGGCCTGGAGTAAAGGCACCCACCCAGACATAGACCTAACATACCCAAGCAGGTGATGGCCAACCTGAGATCTGGCATGTGGTATAGGATAGCCCCACTTGTCCACACATATGGACTCCCAGCCCAACTCCCCCGTGCCTAGGGAGAGAGGGGCTCAATGAAGACAGTGGATGGAATGAGTGATGCCAGTTTCTCTTTTGTTTCTGAAAGATTTCTCCGTGGACGATGGCAGCCACGATTCAGGCCATGGAGAGGAAGATTGAATCGCAGGCTGCTCGCCTGCTTTCCCTAGAAGGTCGAACCGGGATGGCCGAGAAGAAGCTGGCTGATTGCGAGAAGACAGCCGTGGAGTTCGGGAACCAGCTGGAGGGCAAGTGGGCCGTGCTGGGGACCCTGCTGCAGGAGTACGGGCTGCTGCAGAGGCGGCTGGAGAACGTGGAGAACCTGCTGCGCAACAGGAACTTCTGGATCCTGCGGCTGCCCCCGGGCAGCAAGGGGGAGTCCCCTAAGGTAGCCCTGGGACGCCTTGGGGTGTGGGAGCCCAAGCGGCCAAACCCGTGAGCGTGTGGGTGAGCGAGTGTGACACTTGTGGTTCCAGGTGCCCGTGACCTTTGATGATGTGGCCGTGTATTTCTCCGAGCAGGAGTGGGGCAAGCTGGAGGACTGGCAGAAGGAGCTCTACAAGCACGTGATGAGGGGCAACTACGAGACGCTGGTCTCCCTGGGTAAGGCCTGACACTCATTTCTCTGTTAAATGGGATTTTGCAAGTCCTCAGAATTCTCCCTCCACATAGTTGTTTTCATGTCAGTGTTATATAAATCACCAGAAACATTGTTGACCTTGCAAGTTGTTACCTTTTGTGAAGGATGAGCCCTGGGTGATGGAGTTAAAAGCTCCCTTCTCCCTGTGTTGAGTTTCCCAGAATGCCAGTCTGGGAACGGCGGTGGCTTCTCTCCTACGCAGGCCCGGGATGTGGACCTTTCTGTTCTTGCTGACTTGGAGCGGGGAAGGCCCCATCTGCTCTCAGATCCAGTATGTAATTGACTCACATTTGAGAAAGACTCTTTCCTTCAGCCTTCTCCTACAAACATGCGTGGCCCTTACGGCAACATGCCTCGAGGTCAGTGGAGAACATGGGCAGACGGTGCTGCTTGCAGCAGACATTTTCTTCATGCCTCAAAACTTTGCTTCCCTCAGCCCCTGGGGCTACTGCTCTTCTCCTTGTTTAATCCTGCCCAGGAAGGGCCTGGACTCTGTTTCTTCCTGGGCTGGTTTTCTCTTCCTAATGGTTTCTGTGTGACCCCGGAGCCGAGGGCAGTGAGACCTGTTAGAGAGGGCAGGAGCAGGTGCAGACGTGAGGTTGTTTCGTCAGCACAAGTGCACTGCTGTTTAACGTGCACGCTCTGTGGCAGTTTCTTCACCCCGGCACTGTGGACATTTGGGACCAGGTGATTCTGTGTGTCGGCGGCATCCTCTGCATTGTAGGATGTTGAGCAGCAGCCCTGGCCTCTCAGGGCATCTCCAGATGCCAGTCACCTCTCCCCCAGCCCTGGGCATGACAACCAGAATTGTCTCCAGACTTTGCCAGATGCCCCCAGGGAGCAAAATTGCCTGTGGTTGAGAGCTACTGCTTTGTGACAATCAAGAGATTTCATTTCTAGACCATTGTTGGTTTTCCGGGATGACTGTCCCCAGCTTTGACTGGAACGTGGCAAAAACTAACCTTCTGTCTTTCCTCAGACTACGCCATCTCCAAGCCCGAGGTCCTCTCCCAGATTGAACAAGGGAAGGAGCCCTGCAACTGGCGCCGCCCTGGCCCCAAGATTCCAGATGTTCCTGTGGACCCCAGTCCAGGTAAGGGCTGGGAGAAGGCCAGGGAGGCATCAGGTATTGTGCAGGAAACAGAGACGGAAAGGCCAGAAAGGGTGTGATCTTTCCAGAGAGAGTCGAGGAGAAACATGAAACTTACAGGTTTTATGTCTTGAGTTTTTTATAGTTGAGTTTTAATCTCTAACTTAGTCAGCTAATGCTCCAGAAATGAACACTTTCTGTCAGGGAAACAGGTGGCAAACCTAATCTTTTAGGAAGAGACAAAGGCAGGGCACAGGTTGAGGGGAGGGAGAGGAGAACGCTGAGAGGGAAGGCAGGAGCATAGTTGACCCTTAACGCAGGGGCCAGGGGCACCAGCCCCCAGTCCCACGCAGCCAAAAATCTATGTATAACTTTTGACTCTCTAAAAAGTTAACTGCTAGTAGTCTCCTATTAACCAGAAGCCTTATTGATACTATGAACAGTCAATAACACATATTTTGTATGTTCTGTGTGTTACATAGTGATACTTACAATAAGCTAGGGAAAAGAAAATGTTACTAGGAAAATCATAAGGAAGAGAAAATATATTTATTACTCATTAAGTGGAAGTGGAGCATCATAAAGGTCATCCTCCTCATTGTCTTCTTCAGATTGAGTAGGCTGAGGAGAAAGAGGAGTGGTTGGTCTAGCTGTCTCAGGGGTGACAGAAGCAGAAGAAAATCCATTTATAAGTGGGCCTGCATAGTTCAAACCCATGTTGTTCAAGGTCAGCTGTATATTGACAACAAAATTAATCCAAAGCTTTGCAAAGAGTCAGCCTTGCCTCCAAGAACCAACCTTAATTTAAACCAGTAGCAGTTGTAGAGCTACTTTGGTCTACATTGGTCAGCCTTATGGTTTGGTATTATTAGAAGCACACATTTATTTAAGGTGAATCTTGTTACCAGATATCAGCGTCTCAGATTTCCCTGGAGCCAGTCAGCACCTTTGAAAGTTAAGGGAAGGACAGGTGGACACAGGAGAAAAACCAAATTCCTAAAGTGAAGACCTGCTGGGTCATTTGACTAGGGAGACCACATCTCTGCAAGGCTCGACCCCTGATTCCTCCAGAAGACCCGCCCTTGACCGTCCCACCTGCCTTGGTTTTCCCTTTCGTCTGACACTGAGAAAGGTGGTGGTCCGCAGAGGCCCTCCTGTGCGCCACTTGTGTGAAATTAAATGCATCCCCCATGTTCGTCATCTCATCTCAGTCAGATTTGCACTTTCCTAAGGGCAGAAGCATGTTCCGGGCTGGCCGCTTTGCCAGTCGTCATCGGGACATTGACAGTTTAGCTCTACAGATGCATTTTTAAGAATCTTCTAGGCGTCAAGGACAGTGCTGAACACTAGAGGACAGAAAGATGGCTGAGAACAGATACTATTGGGCTGGAAAAGAGGGTTACAACCCGTGCGCGTCCCCAGCTTCCTAGCCTGGGTGGGAGGTTCTGGGTGGGTGGGTTTCGTTGTATTTACACCATGTGTGGAGGCTTCCCTCACTTCCACAGCATCATTCAATGAGAGTAAAGAGGGGCTGGAAATACGCTGGTTGCTGGTAAGACCCTGTAACACTCTCTAGCTGCACCGTATGATGTTCAGCAGCATCCGTGGCCTCTACCCACCAGTAGACAAGATGAGTAGACACAAACTCCACTGTCCATCCTGAGCCTGTTGGCAGGGATCTGTGTGGCGTTTATCCCTGTCCCCTTTGTCTGAGAAGCCAGGACTCCCAGCTCATCCCTTGCCACATTTGGCCTGACCCATCCCCTTGTGAGACCTCACCTCCCCTTCTCCTCACCTCCTGCACATCCCTCCACTGAGCCTTGTGGGACTCAGGGCTCAGCAGACCCGCCAGGTCCTGAGTGTTCCCTGCTCGGACTGAGCTCCAGGGGACTGCAGCCCTCTGAGTGCTTGTCATCCTCTTCCCTGCCTCTGTCTTGAGCCCAGGCCCACTGGGACAGGGTCCTCACCCCTCAGATTGTGCCTCTGCCAGCCTCAATCCCTCTCTAGAGACCTTGCCTTTGGGTCCCAGGCCTTGTCTTTTTGCTACTTCTGCAGACCTTCCCTCTCTTCTCAACACTCTTCCTGCCCTCAGTCTTGGCCATGGCAGCCTCCTTGTTGATTGTCCTGTGCCCCCCCAACCCATCCCACAGCCATCCGTGACTGTGACGACAGTGACTTTACCATACCCACCATCTCCATCTCCAGCACACCACTCCCTGGCCGCCTCCTGCCGTCCCTTCAATTCCGTCTGGTGTCCTGATTCCAGCAGTTTTCCAGTCCTTCAAGACCTGCAAGCCATCGACCCTGCTGCCTTTTCACTGCCCTGACTCATCCTCATTTCCCTCCATGCCCACCATTGTGGTCCCCCCTTACACACACCCTCAGCACTCTTGCCCCTGTTTTGTTCATTGTATCCACTTAGTGAAATCCATCGGTGTTCTGCACCTGCAGCCAAGCAGCTGCACGTGGCTGCAGAGAACCAGGTAAGCTGGCTGCTGGTGTCACGTGACATTCATGACCAGCGACTTCAGTGGGCGCTCTGCCACACAGTCACACCGTGTCTCCTTAGCCCAGGGGCCAGCAAACTGTGGCTGAGGGCCAAACCTAGCTCATCTGTTTCTGTATGGTGCACAGCTGAGAACAGTTTTATATTTTAACCCGTTTTTTAAAAGAGAAACGCACCACTCACACAGCCCTCTCCACGCCATCTGCCTGCACCAGTGCCCCCTTCTCTGCCTTCACTTCTGTGACTGCTAAACTGTCAACCCTCCAGCCAAAGCCCCACTTCGATCTGGCACCAGATCCCACCTCATGCCATCTTCTCAAGGGCAATACAAGCAATCCTGCCTTGACCTCTACCCCGGCAGCCACTGCCCGCTTGTCTGTTCCCCTTTGTGGCAGAGCCCTTGGGGACATCTGCGCTTGCTGTCTCCTGCACCTTCCCCCCCACTCTGTTACCCCTTCCACCAAAACCTCTCCAACCTCGGTTACCAGGGCCCTCCGTGGTCCTGAATGGTCTGTCTTCTTACTTGGCCTTGTCCCCTCTACTCTGCCACGTAGGCCCGTCATCTCCTGCCAGCCCCTCTCCTCCTGCCCTGATCCCCCAGTCTTGCCTCAGCCCAGCAGAGTAATCCCTTTTAGACCCAAGTCCTGGCTTTCCATCTGACCCGCACCGTCAGCTCACCACCTCCACTTTTCTCTCACTCTGCCCAGCTGCAGAGTGCTGTTCCCTGGTGCTGTTCCCTCCGCCCTGTGCCAGGGCCTTCGCAGTGCCCTCTACTGGGAATCCTCCTCAGGCAGGTCCCACCTGCAGGCCTTTCGTGTCATCGGCACTGCAGGCCCTCCCCACCCAGGACTCCAGGCCTACTTTCCTGCTTTGGGTCTTCCGTGTTAGACAGTGTCACATAATATATATGTTTCCTATTTATAGATTCATCGTATGTCAGGTCTCCTCCATTAGAATGTCAATTTCAAAAGTATAAAAATTTTTACCTGTTTAATCATTTTAGGAACCTAGAGTATTGCCTAGTACAGAGTAGGAATTCAATAACTATTTGCTGAATGTATGCTGTTTCAAAATTTAAAACGTGTGTGTGTGTGTGTGTGTGTGTGTGTGTGTGTGTGTGTGAAATAATGTATTTCTGATAGCATTTAAATTCCTTTTTAGGTCTCCCAGGCCTCCCTAGGAATTTTCTGTTTATTCTTTCTATCCACATTTTAAAACGTCTGCTGTGTACTTTGGTAGCTGTAAACAATATATAATACGGTTTTTTGTGTTCTGAAAAATTACATAGATGTCATTATATTTATCACTCATTATTCTGTATTTCAGACTTATCCATGTTGATACATGTAGATCAAGTTCATTCCTTTTAACAGATGCTTAATATTCCAGAAGCAACTATATTGTAACTTATTTTCCATTCCTCCACTGATTGGCACTTAAGCTTTTTCTGATTGTTCACTCTCACAAGCAATACTGTAGTGAGCGTTCTTGCGCCTGTTTTTTTGTGGCCCTGTGGGGATGCTGCTCCAGGGAGTAGACCCAGCGGTGGCCTCACCACGTCGTAGGCTTGATTTCATCTCTTCCGTTACTGTATGGCCCTCCCCAGGGGTACCCAGTGCCAGCGGGTGCTCCTAGAACTTGCTTCCTAACGTCTGCCCAGTTTCCATAATTACATTTTTGCCGACCTGATGGGGGTGAGATGGCCTCTCGTTTCAACTTGTATTTTCCCCCTTAAGTTGCACGCCCTTTTTATACGATTATTTGGCTGCTTCTCCAGTGAGTTGTCTTCTGTTTTTCTATTGAGATATTCTTCATTTTCTTCTTGATTCAGGGCTTCTTTGTATGTGTTCTAGATACAAATCCTTTGTCTATTATTTGTGTTACAAACATTTTCTCCGTGTCGGTGGCAGGTCTTTAACGTTGTAGTTCTTGTATGGAAGTTTTCACTGTTGAAAGAGTCAAACATGTCAGTCTTTTCCTTTATGATCTGTGCTTTTTCTGTAGTGAGATATCCTTGCTTACCTCACTCAAGGTCAGAAAGATACTCTTCTCTATTTTTTTTATAAATTTTTAAAAGTTTTGCTTTTCAAATTTAAGTCTTTAATTTATCTAGAATTAAAATTTGTGTAGCTTGCAAGGGAGGGTTTCAGTTTTTTCTCCCACAACGATGGTCTCATTTTCCAACAAAGTTTGCTGAATGTGTTAGCTTTTCTCCACTGATTTGTGATGCGATTCTGTCCTGAGCTGGTTTCTGCATGTGCACAAGTCTGTTTCTGGGTGCTTGCTTCTGTGTCATTGGTCTCTTTGTCAGTCTCTGCACCAACAGCTTGCTCTTTTAGCTTCATAATAAGCCTTGATATCTAGTAGACTAATCCTTCTCTGCTTGTTCTTCAAAAAACTGTCTTGGCTATTCTTGGATATTTGTTCTTTTATATGAATTTTGGGATCTGTATGTCAAGTTCCTAAGAAAATCCTGTTGGAAATTTGATTGGAATTGCATTGACTTTACAGTCTAATTTCTGGAGAATTGCTCTCATGACAACATTAGCCTTTCTACTCATTGGAACACTCATTTATTGAAGGCTTCTATGTGCTTGAATAAGATTTTACAGTTTTCTTCTGATAGTTGTTTTTCATTATAAATGGGATTTTTACAGTTTATTAGATGTATTAGTTATTTCAGGTGTACAGGTATGCTGTTGACTTTTGTTTATTAAAAAAAATCTTGCTCTCATGTCTAATGGTTTGTTTCTTTATATTCTCTTGGATTTTTTATGTAGATAATTATATCCTCTACAAATCACACAAAGATTGTGTCTGTTTTTTAACTTTTTGTAACTTTATTTTTCTTATTTAGCAGTTTGACTAGGACATCGTTGAATAGCAGCAGTGATAGTAGCATCCTGTCTGTGGACAAGATACATTTCTAGAGTTTCAGCCTTAAGTATGATTTTTGCCTTTGGCTTTTGAAAATATTGTTAAAGACATTTCCTTCTAACCATGCTACCCAAAAGTTTTTATTGTGAACAAGTGTTATATTGTATCAAATGCTGTTTTTCTCCTTTTTAAAAATATTGTGTTTTGTTTCTTTTAAAATAGCAGTCCGGAACCTTTTTGGCACCAGGGACCAGTTTCATGGAAGACAATTTTTCCACCAATGGGGGACCGGGAGCATGGTTTGGGGATGAAACTGTTCCATCTCATAAGAAGGGAGTGTGACCCAGACCCCTCGCATGCACAGTTCACAATAGGGTTCGCGCTGCTGTTAGACTCTAATGCCACCACTGATCTGGCAGGAGGCGTAGCTCAGTCAGTAATGCCAGCGACAGGGAGTGGCTGTAATTACAGATGAAGCTTCACTTGCTCGTCTTCCACCCACCCCCTGCTGTGCAGTCCAGGTTCCCCGGGGCATGGGGACCCCTGTTTTACAACATTGTTACTGTGTATTATACATAACAAACAAAATACATACAGAACAAAATTCGTGTGACATTTAGAGATTAGTAGTAAACCCCATATTCCCAACACCCAGCATGAGAGAGACCACAGCTTGAACCTCTTGGACCCCCGTCCTCCCCTGATCACACCCCTTCCTTCCTCTTATAGTATACATAAACTGAAAATTCAGAAATAGAGTCCCTTGCCTTTCTTTACATTTTTATTCCCTCAGTATGTATCCTAAGTAACACATTTAGTTTTATCTGCTTTGGAACTTTTTGTAAATGGAATCATACCACATATGTTCTTCCTTAACCTGCTTTTCTCATTTGCCGTTATGTTTTTGAGAGCCATCCATGTTAATGTAGTATAGCTGTAGCTCATTCATTTTCATGATTTTCACCACTTTACAGTTTTGTATTTTGTGACCATAATACAATGTATTTATTCCTTCTACTGTTGGTGGGTGCTTGTGTTGTCTCTTTTCTTTTCTTTTTTTTTTTTTTGCTGGTGTGAACATTCTTATGCATATGTAAAAGCTTCTGTAGGTGTAGATCCAGGAGCGGAACTGCTGGGTCATAGGAAAGAAAAGACATGTATTCAAATTTTTCCAGGTGATGTCAAGTGGGGATACCAACTGGTATTCCCAGGAGGGCCTGGGGGTTCCAATCACACCTCATCCTCACCACCCTGGGAAATGCTGTTTTTATTTCTGCCCGTTTGGTGGGAGTGAAATGGTTTAAAATTTATGGTTTAAAACTTGGATTTTCCTAATTAATAAGATTGAACATTACATCCTCTACTGGTGAGCCGTTTGTCCTTCCTCTTCTGTGAAATGCGTGTTTATGTCTTCTTTGCATTTTTTTAAGTTGTTTTTTGTTGACAGAGTCTTGCTCTGTTGCTCAGGCTAGAGTGCAGTGGTGCAATCTTGGCTCACTGCAACCTCCGCCTCCTGGGTTCAAGTAATTCTCCTAACTCAGCCTCCCAAGTAGCTGGGACTACAGGTGTGCACCACCACGCCCAGCTAATTTTTGTATTTTTAGTAGAGACAGTGTTTCACCATGTTGGCCAGACTGGTCTCAAACTCCTGACCTCAAGTGATCTGCTGCCTCGGCCTCCCAAAGTGCTGGGATTACAGGCGTGAACCACTGTGCCTGGCCTGTTAGTGTTCTTTACGTATTCTAAATATTAACCTTTTTGTCAACTATGTGTGTTGCCGTTATCTTCTCCATTTGTGGTATATTTTAAAGAACAGATGCTTTTCATTTTAATGTACTTGGATTTACTAGTCTTTCCTTTATGGTTTGTCCTTTTTGTGTCTTAAGCAATTAAGAAATGTTTACGTTCTTCAATGTTGTAGTACACCAGTGCACCTTCTCATATTTCCTACTAAAGGTTTTCAGAGTTCGTCTTTCATGTTCAAGTTCTTCATCCTTCAGAAATGGACTTTTGTGGTGCTATGAGGTGGAGACCCTGCTTCTTTTTCACTGCACTTTGGTTCTTCTTTTCCTTTGCTCTTTCAGATAGCCCCTCAAACTGCCTTATCAAGTTCCATGAAAAATTCCAGTTGGGGTTATGGTTGCAATTGCATTCCATCTATTAACATTTTGGAGAGAATTGACACTTTTACTATATTCAGTCATGTTATCTGTGAATGTCCTAAGTCACTCCATTTGGTTTGTCTATAGTGTCGCAATGAAGTTTTATATTAAGGTCTTGCACATATTTTGTTAGATCTATTCCTAGGTTCTTTTTTTTTTTTTTTTAAATCACTTTTGTCAGTGGTATCTTTTTTTAACTTGCATTTTCTGTTTGTTGCTGTTGGGGACTTGAGGGCAGAGAATACCCCTCTTCAAATGCTTTTTCTCCTATCACAAGAGCGCATTCCAATGTCCCTGCCCTTTATGCAGAATTATGCCCTGAATTATCAGTAATAAAAATAGATTAGCCTCACCTGTCTTCCTCTTTTGTTTTCTTTCTGTGTTTGTTAAGACCCTTGATAAGGAAGAAAAATTGTAACTGATAGGCTTTCTCAAAAACCTCACAGTATTAATATATAAAAATGTAGTTGTCTTTCATTTATTGATAACGATCTAGGAACCCTACTAAAATTTTCATTAATGCTAATAACCTTTCTATTAATTGTCTAATCATTCTCAGTTTTTCTGAAAAGTTAATCATATCTATGAGTAATAATTTTTTTCTTTTTAAATATTTATGGGTTTTTTTTCTTGTTTTATTGTGTTGACTGAGAACTCCCAGAAAATCCTTAAATAGAAATGATGATAACAGGTGTCCTATTGGTTCATGATTTTAAAGAGGACACTTTTTAACTTTTCACATTGAGTATAATATTTGCTAAAGATTTTGTTTACAAATATCCTTTATCTGGCTAAAGAAGTTTCCTATGTCTGTGTTTGGCTAGGTGTTTCTAACAGTAATGACTTGAATTTTATATAATTTCTTTTGGTATCCATTGAGATGATTATACATTTTTTTCTCCTTAACCTGCTAGTAAGGTAAATTATGTTACTTTCTAATGTTGAACCAACCTTGCAGTCTTGGAATAAACCTAACTTTGTCATGATCCTTTATGAACATTGCTGTATGCTAATTATTTTGTTTAGGA
Source organism: Homo sapiens (assembly GCF_000001405.40). Taxonomy (NCBI): domain Eukaryota; kingdom Metazoa; phylum Chordata; class Mammalia; order Primates; family Hominidae; genus Homo; species Homo sapiens. The sequence goes on along the minus strand of NC_000007.14, from coordinate 149,484,288 downwards.
TTTTTGAATCTTTGTTCATGGATGAGATGGGCTTGTAATTTTCTTTTCTCAGACTGTTTTTGTCTGGTTTCGGTATTAAAAATATGAGCTATGATGTATTCATTCTGTTTTTAATTTTCAGAGAGTTTTTGTAATGTTGGAATTATCTATTCCTTCAACATTTAGTAGAAAACACCAGTGGGGCCACCTGAGCCTTAAGTTTTCTTTGTGGGGAAGATTTTTTACTACCGATGTAATTTATTTTAGTTACAGGACTATTCAGGTTTTCTATTTCTTCTTTAGTTTTGGCAGGTTGAAATTTTCCTAGGAATTTGTCCATTTCCCCAGAGTTTTCAAATTACTTGGAATAACATTCATAATATCCTCTATATCTTTTAAATCTCTGCTGCATTTATCATTATGTTCCCTTTTTCATTCTTCCAATTGGTTATTGGTGCTGTCTCTCCCATTCTCTTGATAACCTTGCTAGAGGTGAATTGGTTTAACAGTCTCTTCAAATAACCAACTTTGACTAACTATATTCTATCTTTGTCTTCTCTTTTATTAATTTATGATACTCTTATATGTATTATTTCCTTCTACTTTTGAAAAGGTTCTTAAATGTTATTTATTTTCTAATGTCTTGCATTGACGCTTAACCCATTAATTTTTGACCTGTGTTTTTGTTTTTTTTTTTATTTTTTTACACGGAGTCTCGCTCTGTCGCCAGGCTGGAGTACAGTGGCGCGATCTTGGCTTACTGCAATCTCCACTTGCCGGGTTCAAGCCATTCTCCTGCCTCAGCCTCCCGAGTAGCTGGGACTACAGGCACATGCCACCACACCCAGCTAATTTTTGTATTTTTAGTAGGGATGGGGTTTCACCATGTTGGCCAGGATCATCTCGATCTCCTGACCTCGTGATCCACCTCAGCTTCCCAAAGTGCTAGGATTACAGGTGTGAGCCACTGCGCCCAGCCCCTGTGTTATCTTTTTTAATATAAACATACAAGGCTATAAAATTTCCTCTAAGTACCATTGTAGCTGTAGCCCATACATTTTGATAGATAATATTTTCATTAATATTGGGTTCCAGATACCTTCTAATTTTCATTGTGATTTTTTTCTTAGACTCAGATTATTTAGAAAGCGGTATATTTTAAAATTTTAGTATGTATGGGAGTTATTGATTTCAAACTTAATTGTGTTGTAGCTAGAAAATGCAGTGTGTAAAATACTAGTCGTTTAAATTTTGCTGAAGTCTGTTTTATGACCTAGAAAGTGTTCATTTTTCCTTAACGCTCTGTAGCTTAAAAAGCTTGTGTTTTCTCTGTGTTTGGAATCTGCTTAGGTCCCTTTAATCAGGTTTGTTAGTAGAGTTGCTCAAATTTTATATAACCTTTAGTTGGCTAGATTTATCAATTACAGAGAGATATATCAAAATCCCCTACTGTAAAGATGGATTTGTTCATTTCTCCCTAGAGTTTTATCAGTTTTGCTTTATTATTTTGAAGCTATATGATAAGCTTAAAAAATTAGAGTTATTGGCTGGGTGTAGTGGCTCACGCCTGTAATCCTAACACTTTGGGAGGCTGAGACGAGTGGATCACCTGAGGTCAGGAGTTTGAGGCCAGCCTGGCCAACATGGTAAAACTCTGTCTCTACTAAAGATATAAAAAATAGCCAGGCGTGGTGGCACACATCTGTAATCCCAGCTACTCGGGAGGCTGAGGCAGGAGAACTGCTTTAACCTGGCAAGTGGAGGTTGTAGTGAGCCGAGATTGCACCATTGCACTCCAGCCAGTGCAGCAGAGCAAGGCTCCATCTCAAAAAAAAAAAAAAACCTTAGAATTACTTTATCTTCCTGGTTAGTTTACTATTATGCAGTAATTCTTTTTATTTCTATGAATATTTTTACTTTCAAAGTTTATTTCATGTGATATGGTATAGCTACATCATTTCTTTACATTGTTCTGGCTTAGTACATCTTTCATTCTTTTACATTGCTTTCTGCGTCCTTCTGTTTAGGTATGTCTCTTGTAAACAGCAGATAGCTGGGGGATTTGTTTGGTTTTAGTCTGAAAATCTTTACCTTTACCTTTTAAATATCCAAACAGTAGCCACTATCCACCTGTAGCTACTGAGCACTTGAAATGTGCTGTAAGGATAAAATACATACCGTATTTCAAAAACCGTGTACAAAAACAAGCCGTGAGTACAAAATATGCATGTATAAAATAATATAAATCATTTTATATTGATTATACGTTGAAGTAACATTTTTTATATCTTGGGCTAAATAAAATGTACTGTTAACATTTATTTCACCTGTTCTTACTTTTTTAACATGACTACCAGAGTACTTAAAATTAGATATGTGGTTCACATTCTTTTTTCTTCTTAGCTCTGGTCTAGACCATTTACATTGATTATGGTTATTAGTTTATTTGGATTCTTTTTACCATCTTAAATTGTGCTGTTAATCTTTAGTTCTGCCTTTTCTGTATTTTTCCTGCCTCTCCTTTGGGAATTATTCATTTAGGTATTTTCCTTTTCAAACTATTGTTATTTTAAATTAATTTGACAGTTATGTATTCTATTTCTATTGTTATAGAGGAATCTTTAGAAATTTTTTCTTCCTTTAGAAGTTATTTTTTGTGGGTCTGATGGTAATGAGCCCTCAGTTTGTGTGTGTATATGAGTTTATATGTGTTTATATGTGTGAAAATATCTTTATTTCATCCCTATACAGTGAGTCCTCTGTATTTATGTATTCCACATTTGTGGATTCAGGTAACTGCACATTTGAAATATTCAGGAAAAAAGGTGTCTACTAAACATATACAGACTTTTTTCTTGTCATTATTCTCTGAACAATACAGTGTAGCAACTATCTACATAGCATTTACGTCGTATTAGGTATTATAAGTAATCTAGAGGTGATTTAAAGTATACAGGAGGATGTGTGTGGGTTATATGCAAATACTACACCAATTTATACAAGGGACTTGAGTATTGTGGGATTTTGGTATCCATGGGGTGCCCTAGAACCAATCCCCCACTGACACCAAGGGACAACTGTAGTGGAAAGACATAATTTTAGCTTGAGTGTTATTTTCTCTTAGCTTTTGAAGATAATTTGCCCCTTTTTTCTGGCTTTTGTTGTTGCTATTGAGAATCTGCCATCAGTCCAATCAGGATTCCTTTGTGGATGATCTGCATTTTTTCTTTCCCTGCTTTTAGGTCTCTTGGGTGATCTGCAGTTTTAATACAATGTGTCTAGATGTGGATTTATTTTCTTTTATCCTGCTTTAATCACTGAAATGTTTCACCAATTTGGGAAAATGTGTTATCTTCCCTCTTTGAATTTTGCCTTGCCCCCTTTCTAACCTTTTATTCTGGAACTTTTTCATATTATCCTTTATAACTTCGAACCCCTCTTTATATTTTTAGCTCAGTCTCTATGTTAAGGTTGGAATAATTTCTTCTATCTTCTAGTTAGTTCACTATTCACCATTCAATCATTTCCATTCTGTTGTTTAACCTACACATTGGATTTTAAAATTTCAGTTATTAGCCAGGCGCGGTAGCTCACGCCTGTAATCCTAGCACTTGGGGAGGCCGAGGCTGGCAGATTGCCTGAGCTCAGGAGTTCAAGACCAGCCTGGGCAACACAGTGAAACTCCATCTCTACTAAAATACATAAAAATTAGCTGGGCCTAGAGGCATGCACCTGTAGTCCCAGTGCTACTGGGGAGGCTGAGGCAGGAGAATTGCTTGAACCCGGGAGGCAGAGGTTGCAGTGAGCCAAGATCGCGCCACTGCACTCCAGCCTGGGCAACAGAGCGAGACTCCATCTCAAACAAACAAACAAACAAACAAACAAAACAACAGTTATTTTTTCTCACCATTCTAAAGAATGTTACATTTGATTCTTTTTCAAAATTTGGTCAGTTTTGATAGTCTTATTTCTCCATACTTTCATTCCCCCTTTTTATTTCTGTAAATAATTGAACTTTATATTCCTTATATGATAATTTTAATATCCAAAGTCATTGGTCATATTCTCCAGTTCATGATTTCTGCTGAGTTTGTGGTGCTGATTTTCTCGAGATGGTGATGTGTAATTGTGAGCTCATTGATTATTTGAAAGCTATGTTTAAAATGCTTTCCTCCTGAGAATGTGTGTGTGTTCCTCAGCTGGTCATCTGATGCCAATGCAGACTTAGGACCACTTCAAGCTACAGTCTTGACCTGGAAGTTTTTGGGCCACAATGGGCCTCCTGAGTAGCTGGGACCACAGGGGATGCCACCATGCCTGGCTAACTTTTTTTAAAAACTTTTTTTTTTCCCCTCTGTGGAGACAGGGTCTTCTATGTTGCCTAGGCTGGCTTTTTTTGTTTGTTTATTTGAAACAGGGTCTCACCTTGTCACCCAGCCTGAAGTGTAGTGGCACAAACATGGCTCACTGCAGCCTCAAACTCCTGGGCTCAAGAGCTCCTCCCACCTCAGCCTCCCAGACTGCTGAGATTACAGACATGAGCCACTGTACCCAGCCTACTCAGCAATTTTAGATATTCCACATTGGGAGGAATTTCTGTTTCTCTGCACATCTAGCCAGCCATATGTCAGAAATAGAAGAGCTAAATGCTGTTTTTACATCTGTTGAGATGATTATATTGTTTTTGCTATTAATCTTAACTTTGTTCGTTATATTTTCTAGTGTTATCCTTGAGCTCTCAGAATAAACCCAATGTGTTCATAATATGTCTTTTTCTTTTTTGAAAATATATTGCTGAGTTTGATTTGTAATTCTTTCATTTAGAATCTTTGCATATCTGTTCATATATGAGATTATTTTTTAAATTTGTTCATATACTACCCCTCTAGTTTGTGCAATAAAAATTGTCTTAGCCTCATAAAATGAGTTGACAGATGTTTTCTCTCAACATTTGAAGATATTCCATTGTCTTCTGATATCCTAGTTGCTGAAGAAAATCTCCTGTAGTCTGAATGTCATTATTTTCTCTTGGGTACCTTTTAAGGTTTTTCTCTTTGTCTTTGCTGTGGTTCCATTTCACATGAATGTTGTCTAGGTTTGTTTGTTTGTTTTATTACCTACTTGGGAATTGGTCTGTTCCTTCAAACTGTGGACTTAACAATGCCTTCAGTTTTGGAAAATTCTCAACCATTATTTCTTTACCTATTGCCATTACTCATTTCTCCATTCTCTTCTTCTGGGATTTCTACCAGCATGTGTTGGAATTTCTCATTCTGTCCTCCAGGTCTCTTAACTTTTTCATATTTTTCATTCTTTATCTCTCAGTGTTGTACTCTGGGTTATTTCCCTGGATCTCTCTCCCAAGTCACTAATATTCTCTCTAGCTGTGTTCAGTCTGTTGTTGTTGAGCCAGAGCCATCCATTTGAGTTTTTCATTTCCACAGCTGCCTCTGTCGTTTCTAGAATGTTGAGTTCTTTTTCAAATCTGCCTTTTTCAAAATAATTTGCTGTTCTTGCCTTAAAGATTCTGTTCTTTATCTCTTTGATGATCTTAGACATACTTAGGTTACTGTATCATTCAGCCTCTCCTTTTTTTCATTAGTTCTTGGGAGTGAACTCTGCCATGACTCTCATGGCCATTTGGCACCTCTTCTGTTTTGTAAGTTTTAGTTTTTCTTCTGGTTTTAGTTTTCCCTTAGGAGCCCCCTGTGGACTGCATTGTGTGGGTGCCCCTCTGAGGCAGATCTGCATTTGCCCATGCTGGGGCCTCCTGAGTTGCCATGGCTCTCAGCCAATTTTTCTGTGAATTTCTCAGTTTATGGTGTCTGCCCGTGTGGGTAGTGTGAATTCTGTGTGGACATGGGATTCCAAGTTTTTATGGGTTTCTTTCCCACACATAGCCCTGGACAAGTAGGCTGCTTCCTGGTGGCTCCCGCAGGCAGACAGAGTTTTCCTAGTCCCCATCTCACAGACAGGCCAGAGCCTATGACTCCTGGCTTCAGGCAGGCGGCTCGGCCACACTCCCAACCTCACATGGACATGAAAGCCCAGCCCCTAAGGCCTGTATCCTACTCCAACAACTCTCTAGGTCACTTGCCTTCCACTGTAACTCGTGATTGACTCTGTGTGTTCTCTGTCATTCTTGCCTCTGGGATCTTTTCTTTTGCACTCACTTAAATATATGAGGGGGGAAGGTTTTGGGGGGACTTGGGGTTCACTTTTGTTCAGCATTTCTTGTGTTTCAAGTGAGGGCAGGCCATCCCCAGGGCAACTTAGTCTCCCTCTGGACCACCAGCCTAGCCCTGAGAATGTGCTTGTGTATTCTTCCCCTCCCCCGCCTCAGCCTTTCCTACCCTACCCGCATTCCCAATACCATGTGACCTCAGGCTCTGCCCTAGGCTCCCATCCTGTTTGCTGCTGCCTCCCTTCCCACCAGGCTCTTTTGCTGTTGGACCCTTGTAAGGCCCCTGTGTCTATCTCTCCGGCTGGATGCGTGTATGCCCCAGGGCTGAGGGGCCGTGATGCTGTATCCTCACACTCACTCCCTTTCCTAGGCTCGGGGCCCCCAGTTCCCGCCCCAGACCTCTTGATGCAGATCAAGCAGGAGGGTGAGCTCCAGCTCCAGGAGCAGCAGGCCCTGGGCGTGGAGGCGTGGGCAGCCGGGCAGCCAGATATTGGGGAGGAGCCCTGGGGCCTCAGCCAGCTGGATTCCGGAGCAGGAGACATCTCCACGGATGCCACCTCTGGTAAGTGGCTGAGACGGGGACATAAGGAACAAGTTGCAGGGATCACAGGAGGGACAGGGGAGGGCTCGTGGCAGCATGGGGGAGCTGTGGGCCCTCAACACTTCCGGCCTGACAACTTTAGAAATTTTCCCGTCTCGAGGTAGGACTGTACTAAAGGACTTGTCTCGAGCCTCTCTCGGGTGGCTGATGCTGTCCCTGGGTGTCTCTCTGGCCCTGTTCCAGTGGCCCCTATATCACCGTGAGGCCGCTTCTCTTGCCCCAGCATTGGGCATTGAAGTCACTGGCTGCCTCTATTCGAGAGGGGCCCGTGGGAAACATACTGATGATGTCTGAGCTTCCCAGTGCCTCAGAAAGGGGGACAAAAGACACTGGGTTCAGAGAGGTTGGGTCCTCGTGCCCACTCAGAAAAGCCCCCAGTGGGGGGACCTCAGAGTTTAGCCTGCTCTCCTCCCCAACAGTCTTCTGTCCTCCCCGTCCGTCCCCTAACCCACCGGCTCTGCTCTCCCCTTACCGCAGGTGTCCATTCCAACTTTTCCACCACCATCCCGCCCACCTCCTGGCAAACGGATCTCCCTCCCCACCATCCCTCTTCAGCATGCTCGGACGGGACCCTGAAGCTCAACACAGCAGCCTCCACGGAAGGTACAGGTGGCGAGAGGAGGAAGGGAAGGGCCATGCTTGCCTGTGGGGAGTACCTCGGTCCAGGCATCCCATTTTCACTGGTGAACTGCTCTGACCTTCCAGCCAACAGACATTAGGGTGTCTGCACTCTTATGACCCTTTGCACATTCTGTTATTTATCTCCTTGCCAAATCATAGGTGTCAGCAGCCCTTCTTGAGGACATCCATGTTTCAGTCTGTTGCTTTTTCATATGGTGTTAAGTGGTCTATTCTAACAAGCCTATCTCTTGAAGGATATACCTCCTCCCCAGCTTAGGAAACTGTGGCTTCTCTCTGGCATGGAGGAAAACAAAATTGAACTGAAACCACTTCTTAGATATTGGTACTACCAAAGACAGGTGTCTGAAGGCCGATTTCAGAAGAACCACCACCAAATTTATCTGTTAGCTTTCTGTTTACTTCTGTTTTGAAGACCAGTCACCTGTTACTATAATAACGTCATATTTTAGCACCCAAAAAACGTGCTAATAGCCAAGATCCCTGATGTGAAACCTCAGAATGTGAAGTTGAAGTACGCTTATATAAAATCAAACACATTCTTTTTTTTTTTTTTTTTTTTTTTTTTTTTTGAGGCGGAGTCTCACTCTGTCCCCCAGGCTTGGAGTGCAGTGGGGCGATCTCTGCTCACTGCACGCTCCGCCTTCCGGGTTCACGCCATTCTCCTGCTCAGCCTCCCAAGTAGCTGGGACTACAGGTGCCCGCCACCACGCCCAGCTAATTTTTCGTATTTTTAGTAGAGACGGCGTTTCACCATGTTAGCCAGGATGGTCTCAATCTCCTGACCTCATGATCCCCCCGCCTTGGCCTCCCAAAGTGCTGGGATTATAGGCGTGAGCCACCGCGCCTGGCCAAACACATTCTTATTCACTAATATTTTTATCATTAGCTGGTGGGTCCATTTATTGAATGCTGCTGCATGTCAAATAGCTCACTAAGGTGCTTTCAGACATGTTGTCTGGTTTAATCCTCACACCTGTGAAGTGGGCATTCACAGATGAGCTGTGGGTTAGAAACTGCCTGCAGCCCACAGCTGGTGTGTGGCCGAGCTGTCTGAACCCCCATTCCCTGCACTGTGGTGGGGCACAGTGCCTGCAGCAGTTCGAATTCCTTTCTGAGGATCAATTCATGCTTAGCCTTAACAGCCAAACTGAAAAATGGAGCCTGGGGAGCAGATATGGTGGCTTGTCCTGTGGTGAAGGTGCCAGAACACTGGTGTCCTCGAGGGGGAGGCAGCCTCACAGCCACCAGGCTGCTCTGCTGAGCTGCCCTCTGGGCTCAGCCACGAGGGCCTGGGTGGAGTTTGTCTGGCCAGGCAGCTGCTGAGCAGGTGATGGTGGCAGATCGTGGCTCGCTCAGCAGTTAAGGGACAGGTCAGTATCTGTCTTTCTGTCTTTCTCAGCAGATGTAAAAATTGTAATAAAAACAGAAGTCCAGGAAGAGGAGGTGGTGGCCACACCCGTACATCCTACTGACCTAGAGGCTCACGGGACCCTGTTTGGACCAGGCCAAGCCACACGGTTCTTCCCTAGTCCTGCCCAGGAAGGAGCCTGGGAAAGCCAGGGCAGCTCCTTCCCCAGCCAGGACCCTGTGCTGGGGCTGCGAGAGCCCGCCCGGCCTGAGAGGGACATGGGTGAGCTCAGTCCTGCTGTGGCCCAGGAGGAGACCCCTCCTGGGGACTGGCTCTTCGGAGGGGTCCGGTGGGGCTGGAATTTCCGGTGTAAACCGCCAGTGGGCCTGAACCCGAGGACGGGGCCCGAGGGGCTTCCTTACTCCTCCCCGGACAACGGAGAGGCCATCTTGGACCCCAGCCAGGCCCCAAGGCCATTCAACGAACCCTGTAAATACCCTGGCCGGACCAAAGGCTTTGGCCACAAGCCAGGGCTGAAGAAGCACCCCGCGGCGCCCCCCGGGGGCCGGCCCTTCACCTGCGCCACGTGTGGGAAGAGCTTCCAGCTGCAAGTCAGCCTGAGCGCGCACCAGCGCAGCTGTGGGGCGCCCGACGGGTCGGGCCCGGGCACAGGCGGTGGCGGCAGCGGCAGTGGCGGCGGCGGTGGCGGCAGCGGTGGGGGCAGCGCACGGGATGGCAGCGCCCTTCGGTGTGGGGAGTGCGGCCGTTGCTTCACGCGCCCCGCGCACCTCATCCGCCATCGCATGCTGCACACCGGCGAGCGGCCCTTCCCCTGCACCGAGTGTGAGAAGCGCTTCACCGAACGCTCCAAGCTCATCGACCACTACCGAACGCACACGGGCGTGCGGCCCTTCACCTGCACCGTCTGCGGCAAAAGCTTCATCCGCAAGGACCACCTCCGCAAGCACCAGCGCAACCATGCAGCGGGCGCCAAGACCCCGGCCCGAGGCCAGCCACTCCCGACGCCGCCCGCACCTCCTGATCCCTTCAAGAGCCCCGCCTCCAAAGGACCTTTGGCCTCCACAGACCTTGTGACCGACTGGACTTGTGGCCTCAGCGTCCTGGGACCCACCGATGGCGGGGACATGTGAGCGCCTCCAGCCCCATAGCCCCTGCCGGCCGCACGTGTAAAAAGCCCCGTGTGCAGGCAGCAGGGCGGCGTGGAAGCTTCAGGCAGACGCGGGACGGGGAGAACCAAATGTCCAAGTTGCTGAACTGATGATCACTGGAGAAAGAGAAACTATCCACCAGGACAGCTGCCACCTCTAAACCAAGTAGAATTCTCTGTGAAATGGGAGCGCCGTAGAATTTTAAGTAATTTAATTGCAAACCTGTTTTGTTTTTTGTTTTTTGTTTTTTTTTAATTCTTGAGGAAAAAGCTGGAAAATAGTAATAGGGCTATTTAAATTTTGTAGGTACTTTTGGTTTTCAGGGCGTGCATTTCTGTCACTATCTCACTGAGTCTGATAGTGTGTTGGAAGGTTGGCCAGTTGGGGACCCCTGGCCCACTGACTCCTGGGGATGGGGTCCTGTGTGTGCCCCTGCTCTGCCCAGTTGGGCTGAGTGGGCCTAGCGCACCAAGCCCCTGGGCAGTGAGGGCCATTGGGTCCCTTGGAGCACACCTCAGTGCAGCAGGAAGGACCCCTCCGGGAGTAGCGGTTGCATTTCCCAGCTTGCCTCTCCTGAAAAGGCCCCCCAAAAGTGCTGGCCCCAACTTTTCTCTATTTTGGGCCATCTGTGGTACCCGTCCCAAGGGCACTTGGTGGTGTCCCCTAGTGTGTGACTCCCTGGCCTCATAAGGACGAGTTGTCTGAAATCCCAGCGTTAGGTCTGGGGAGATGGAGAAGCTGAAACTGGGGAGCTGCACCACAAACGTCTAGCTCTCAGCAGAGCTGGGAGCAAAGCCTGGCCGCCCACCCCAACCTGGGGCTGCCTCCCACTCCGTGAGATGCTTCTGTCTCCTGTTCACTTTGTGTGGTAGTTTCTTATTTTCAAAATGCATCTCATTTGATCATTACTGTGACCTTGGGAAGCAGCAGGACAGGGATTTCTTTTTAGAGGTGCAAACTGCTCAGAGGGGACACACCTCAGCCTCTCACTGTGGGTACACGTGGCGTGCCATGAGTGGGGAAGAGCAACAGGCGAGATGCCTCATTCTACTGGAACATCACTGTGGGTGAACAGAGATTTCCAGGTTTTCCCTCTTAAAATATTTGTCCCACACCGACAAGAGTCCAGTCACCAGGCCTCAAAGGAACTTCTGCTTGTAGCAGCCGCCTCCCCTGTGCCCCAGCCTCCTTAATGTGTGCACTCTCAGAGGGCACAGCTCGCGAGGCTGGGTTTGGGGGCCAAGTGGCTTGTTCATTCCAGCATCTAACATCATAAAGGTGGGCCCAGATTTCTTGATTCGACCACAGTGCTGTTCCTACCACACAAATATCCATTCCTGTTTTGTTGAAGCAGCCACTGGTCCTCTTGTTTCCCCTGCAGACGGAGGGACCTGGCAGTGCCCATTCATTCAGCCCCCTCATGCATACTTTTATTAGGCGATAGACTAGTTAAGAAAATTGTTTCTATGTACTGTATATTTTGTACCTGTTTACACTTCTAATATTGATATAACTGATATTTTGAAAAATAAGAGAAAACATCCTGTTAAAATAAAACCTAACCAGCACCAAGGCAGTTTGTTGGGTTCCATTCCTAGGCATGTGTCTTTGTCACTGATGCCCCCAAACATGCCCTCCAAGGGGCTGTCTGGTCAGCTTTCTTAGTGCCCTCCTCCTAGGCTTGGTCACCTTGGACCCAGACAGGTAACTGACCTTGAGATCTAAGAATGGAAGATTCCAGAGAAATTTGACTCTGTGAAGAAAAACTGACATTTAGAGAGAGAATCAAAACACATCAAATCACTTTCCAACAGGATATAAACATGGTTTACGTCATTACGTTGTATATGATTTGAGATGACATACATGAAGACAGGAAAGTCTGGGAGAAAAATTGCAGAGTATCCAAGATAAATGGATGTTGGATGCTTTCTTCTTGCATCTTTTCGGGGTTTTGTTTTGTTTTGAGACAGAGTCTCACTCTGTTGCCCAGGCTGGAGTTTAGTGGTGCAATCCTGGCTCACTGCAACCTCCACCTCCTGGGTTCAAGTGATTCTCCTGCCTCAGCCTCCCGAGTAGCTGGGATTACAGGTGCCCACTACCACACCGGGCTAATTTTTGTATTTTTAGTAGAGACAGGGTTTTACTATGTTGGCCAGGATAGTCTCAAACTCATGATCTCAGGTGATCCACCCACCTTGGCCTCCCAAAGTGCTGAGATTACAGGTGTGAGCCACCACACCCGGCCTCTTCTTGCATCTTTTCTTGGCTGGGCAGGAGGTGAAGAAAGGACCGTGATGCCTGTAGTTGTAATCCAGGTCTTAGAGCAAAGTCTAGCCAATAGCAGTTGAGCCAGGCTAGCACCCATATTCCCATCAGCCAGAGTTAATAATCATTACCCTTTTATCTCATGTTTTCAGTCTTCTGTTTTGGTGATAGCCTTTTTAAGAAAATGAAAATGTCAAATCCACCTTAATTTTTGCCACAGCGGGCATGGGAGAAGATCTGCCCTGGCTGCTATGAGGATAGCTGGGGATGGGAACACGCTGCCCTCCTCGCCAGCCCTGACCTCTCTGCTGTGCTTCTGGTCCACCTGCCCCCTGGATGGGTCTCCAGCACATGGAAGCTGGCTGGGGTAGCCTCTGGTGTCTGTCCAGCTTGGGGCACCTCTTCACCCCATACCCTCCCCAGTGATCTTGTGTGCTCTCACACTCCCTCTCATTCACACACCAAATGCAGAAATCTTGAGTGTCATGGCCAGAATCCTGGCGTGTGGTTTCCTAAATGAAGGACTCCTTGGTCTCTGGTTTGGGTACCACTCACCAAGACAGAACACAGGGAGGAGCAGGTTTGGGCAGGGGAGTTGAGTTCTGCTTCATACACCCAGAGGAGGCGCCCAGTCAGTTGTGAGGGAGACCAGATAAGTACCAGTGAATGAGGGGGCCACCACTCCCCACGGACTTCTTGGGAACCCTTGCACTACTATTGTCCCAAAGCATCATGCTTGGCCAAGCACAGGGTTCCCTTCCTCTAGTAGTTTCCTGCTGCTGCTGCTGCTGCTGCTGCTGCTGCTGTAACAAATGATAACGAACCTAGTGGCTGAAACCAGCACACGTTTATCTTACAGTTGTGGTGATCAGAGTCCAGAATGAGTTCTGGAGCCAAAATCAAGGTATCATGAGGGCAGAATTGCTTCCCGAGGCAGAGGCTTCAGAGGAAAATTCATTTCCTTCCCTTTTCCAACCTTTAAGGCTCCCTCCATTCCTTGGCTTGTGGCCCCTTCCTCCTACAGGAATCACTCTGACCTCTGTTTTTATTGTCACATCTTTTCTGACTGTCACTGTCCTGCCTTTCTTTCATTAAAGACCCTTGGAATTACATTGGGCTCACTCAGATACTCTCTCCCTCTCAAGATCCAAATTTAACGACGTCTGCAAAGTCCCTTTTGCTATATAAGGTTAACACATTCACCGGTTCTGGGGACTAGGATGTGGACATCCTGGGTGGGGGGGGGCGGGTGCATTATTCAACTTACCACACCTCCCAAGAGTCAGGGCAACCCTCATTGCTTCTCTGAGGCCAGGCCAAATACTCCCTGGGACATTCATATATGTTCTGGTACTGAAATAACTTGTGCCAAAATGAGAACATTTGAGGTTCATCATTCCAGCCATTCCCTCATCTTGGCCACCCTCTGTTGCCCATCAAAAGGTGCTCATTTGCTGTTACCTCCTCTTGTCATCTTTTCCTTCATCTTTTTACAGTTTTGTTCTCTTATTCCTGATGCTTCTGAAGATGGCCCCCTCCCTCCAACTCTTTCCATTGTTAGGTTGCAATGCTGCATCATTGTCATGTTCACAGGCAGATTGAAGACAAGATGAGTTAAGCTGCACTTTAACCATCTCAGTAGCATCAAGATCTTTGAAGATTGCCCTGACCACTTGTAAGTATTACGCTGGCATTCCTCTGACATTCATCGATCATTTTTCCACATTGAAGCCATGTTAGAGGTCTCTGGGCTTTAGGTCTATAACTCCTACCCCCACCCTGCACAAGTCCATCCTTCATACTGACCCAGGGGGGCCTTTTTAACTGGGAAGTCTGCTTACTGAGGCTCCCTGATCTAAAGTACTCCAGTGGCTCCCCGTCATCTGCTGGCTGAAATCCATACTTCAGCACAGCACATCCAGCCTCTCATGAGGGTACTCCTTCCTTGTTCTCCTCATCCACTCCTCCACTTGCATCTCACCCTCTAGACAAACCGAACTGCCAGCCTTTCCCTGAGCACCATGCCGTTCCCACTGCATGTCGTGTCCTCCTTCCCCTCCTCGTGGCCCACTTGGTGCACTCCCACTTTCCCCAAGGTCTTGGCCCAAGGCAACACCCAGCCTTCCCTGATCTCTCCAGGTGGAACTGATACCTCCCCTGTTTTTCCCACAGACCCCTGCTCAGGCTCCATCCGTCACCTCATGAGACCATCTCTCCCTTTGTGTGTAAAAGTTGTCTGTTTAAAAATGAGGCAAGAGGCCGGGCGCGGTGGCTCATGCCTGTAATCCTGGCACTTTGGGAGGCTGAAACGGGCAGAACAGGAGTTTGAGACCAGCCTAGCCAACATGGTGAAACCCCGTCTCTACTAAAAATACGAAAAATTAGCCAGGTGTGGTGGCAGGCGCCTGTGGTCCCAGCTACTTGGGAGGCTGGGCAGGAGAATCGCTTGAACCCAGGAGGTGGAGGTTACAATGAGCCAAGATCATGCCATTGCACTCCAGTCTGGGCAACAAGAGTGAAACTCTGTCTCAAAAAATAAAAATTTTAAAAAGGAATTAAATTAAAAAATAAGGCAAGAAACTTAGAAGTCACAAGGAGGCCTTCATTCCCTGACAGCTATAAAATGAAGTTTCTAATTTTGTTGTAATTGTCAAGTTTCTTTTAGCCCAGAGTTGTACAATTGTACCTGATTATTTAAAAACATTAAAAATACAGTTTAGACATGAAATACATACACTTAAATAATTATGTTTTATAAAAAATTTGGTCAAAGAGTCATAAATGCAAATATTATGGATTGTATGACCCAATTACATCTGGAAGTTCCAGATAGGACCTAATAAACATAACTTTAAATATAGAGCTAAGATAGAATGAAATAAAAGGAAACTCCAGTGTGCCCCAAATGAAGGCAAAACTGTACCCCCAAGTTGTCAGCACATGGGTCGCTGCTGGGCCTACCTGGAGTGGGGTGAGGAGAAGGATATGTAGGCCTTGGGCCGACAGGTAAAAACTGGCACCTCCTCATGAAGCCCCTTGAAGGCCTCATTTTCGAGGGCCTCGTCTTCATTAAATACATGGTTCAGAAAAAAATGCATCCCAACACCAAAGGATGATGTGTTAGTTGCATCTCTGGGAAGCAGACACTGAGACATGGCTTGGAGTTCAGGAGGTCTACTGGGGAATACTGCCTGTAGAAGATAAACAGAGGAGGAAGCAGGATCTTTCAGGCAAGTCTTAGGCCACAAGGCAGGGCCAATACCTGTGAAAGGAAAGAGGCAAGGAAGCAGGAACAGAGCAGGATGTGGATCTGAGTTTCAGCCAACCCGATGAGGGGCTCTAGAGCAAATATTGTCTCTCAGAGAAGTCCTGTGTTGGGCAGAAATAATCAGGCCCTAGGACCCCACCTGCTCAGCCATGGGCTGGGGCTGCCCAAGAAAAGCATGAAAACCAAGGCATTTCCTGAAGGGGTTCACTACTTGAGCTGTCAGTTAGCAGGGCTCCTTGCAGCTGAATGGTAAGTTCTTGAATGGAGATGTGAGTGGCATAGCTCCACGGCTGCCACAGATGACAGAGAGTTTATCTGTTTCAGGCCGGACTCTGGGTGATGGCACCAGAGGGGGCAGTATCTTCCTTGAGAATTCAAAACCACAGCTAGTACCTCATACAGGTTTGTGATTCAAATGTACATTATCCACTGGGCTAATAAATTGACGTAAAAATTGGCCTTAGCCCAATGATTGCACTTGAGGTTTCCGGCTGAAGCAAATTCAAAAACAGGAGGAACCATCCCACAATCCAGACCACAAGCCCTGCTCAGTGTAAGCTCATAAGTCACACGTTGCAAAATCCACAAGGAAACAATCCACCATCAGTGAGAACACAAGCAGCGGATTAAAATCCAAGAGCTAGAATTCATGTAAAGATAATTCAGAAGATAATATAACATGCGTATTTTTGTAATGTATAAGACTAATAGATGGCACAAAGTAGAAAGAGCAGAGTGGGAAAAGCATAGAAATCACCAAACACTAACATGAATCAAGATACTAGGAGTGCAAAAGTCTTTAATTTTTTAAAAAATCAAGATATTATAAAAAAGAAAGTAACATTTGAAAAAGAAAAAGAAACCAACAGAATTTCTAGAAATAAAATATATACTCATTGAAAAATTTTAATGGACTGGTGAAACTGCAGAACTAGATACAGCTGAAAAGAATCAGTTAAATCAAAGATAGACAAGAAAAGTACCCAGAATGAAGGGCACAGAGAGAAAATCATAGACAGAAACATGACATGTTAAAAGCATAGGCTAGGAATATTTACCATGCCTCTATCTAATCAGATGCTCTCATCTAGAAAGCAATGATTAGGAAATCTGGAGAAAAGAAACTTTAAAAAAAAAAATGGCTAACAATTTTCAAAATTTGATGAAAGATATAAATCCTCAAATTTAAGAGGCACAAGTCCTGAATAAGGTAAATAGAATGTAAACCAAAAATAAAATTCTAAGCTCCCCAACTAACTGATGGACCCTTCCCTCGGCCAAGGGCATTCCAAAGCTAACCTGAAAAACTAGTTCAGGCCATGATGGGAAGTGGAGGTTGGACATGCCTCATTATACCCTCCTTCTTTTGGAATCCAGGCACAGCTGACTAGCATTAACATTAAAATGGAGATCCTAAGACTGCCAGAAAAGACTTTTTGTAGCAATAAGACACAAATTCTAGCCTGACTCTAGTATGGCATCACATGAAAAATAGCAGGCCCTGAAAAAATTGTAGTATTTTATCCCAAAACATATTGCTTTGACATATTTTGAAATGGCCCTGCCAAGCTGTCTCTTGAGGGGAAAAATCTACATTCTATAGAAAATCTGTTTCTTTCCAGGTCTTTTCCCTGATCCAGGAGACAATTAACTAAGAGTCTGGCATCTTTTTAGGTCTCATAAAAGCTCTGAAGCCTGCTAGCTGGAGGTTTCATCTGCATGATAAAACCTCAGTCTTCACAACCCCTTATCTTAACCTAGACATTCCTTCCTATTGATTCCAGGTCTTTAGATAATAACTCTTTCAGCCAATTGCCAATCAGAAAATCTTTGAATCCACCTATGTCCTGGAAGGCCCTGCTTCCAGTTTTCCTGCCTTTCCAGACCAAACCAATGTATATCTTACATGTATTGGTTGATGTCTTGTGTCTCCCTAAAATATAAAAAACCAAGCTGTAGCCCAGCCACTTTGGATCCCCTGGGGCTGTGTCATGGGTCATTGGTCACTCATTTTTTTTTCTTTGTTTACTTCTTGGTCACTCATATTTGGCTCAGAAAAAAATCTCTTCAAATATTTTATAGGTTGACTATTTTCATCAACAAAAGGTAAAGTCACATGTAAAAATATTGTGATAAAACTATCAAACACCAAAAACAAAGAGGACATCCTGAAAACAACCAGAGGAAATAACCAGATTGGCTTCTAAGGAAAACTACTAGATTAACAATAGACTCTTCTATGGTAAACATGGAAGTCAGAAGACAATGGACTAACATCTACAAAGTGGTAAGAGAAAATAACTGTCAATGAAGATTTTATACCCTGATCAACTATTATACAACAGCAAAACCAAACAAATATGTTTTCAGAAAATAAAAACTGAGATATTCCATTCATAGACCCTCACTGAAAAAAAACTACTAAGGACTATCTTTTGGGAAGAAGAAACTTGAACTCAGTAGGTAAATCCTGTAGGAGAAGGATATAAGAAGAAACAATGGTGAGAAAAAAGATCAGTAAATGTGAGTAAATCTTAACACGCATTGACTTTATAAAACAATACAAATTTTAGGGATACCAAAAAAATGGAACTAAAATACTAGGAAACAATCACATGTAAGGTGGATGGAGTATGATTAAAATGAAAGCATTCTATGGTCCTTGTGACTTCAAGAAAAGGGCAGAGATATCAATTACATATAGACTTTGTGAGTCAAACACACATGTTTAAAATGTTCATTAAAACTGCTAGATAAATAGAAATAGAATGTTGCCTAGCAGAGGGAGAAAATTTGATTGAAGAAAGTTTCATTAATCTAATAGAAGGTAGGGAAAGGGAGAAAGAAGTGATGAAAAGATCACAAAATAAAATGATGAAAAAAATCTAAATACATCGTATTCACTACAAATATAAACAAAATAAGCTTTCTAGTTTAAAAACAAGTTGTCAGATTATAAAAGAAAACAAAAATCCAGTTCTATGCTTTTAAGTTTTAGGAGGAGTACTAATTCATAGGAGCATAACCATAAAATAGCTTTCCTTTTTCTTCATGACTACCCTGTAGTTGTGCTACGTCAACCCTTCCTTGCTTTCCAGCTATTTGATACCATATGACATCTTGTCAAAATTCTAATACTATATTTCATCACTTTCTAAGAAAAGTCTCATTTCAGTCTTAGTGTGAGGCGCATTTGAACTTTGAGTGAAGCTCAACACAGAACTCAGGTCCCCTCAACTCCGGTTCAGGCTAGATCTACCTAGAGCACTAACAGCTTGGGGTGAAGAGAACATGTGGTCTGCTCTTCAGACCCTGTCATGCTTCCTTCATACAGACACTAGCCTAGGCCTTCACAAAGCTTCACTTTTGGCTTTATAAGGTCAAAAAGGAGATAGAGGAGAATGTGCTTACATCTGTTGATGGAGAACCTTCATTCAGCTTGGTTCCACCTGTGACTGCAGGCATCTGCTGGTATGGTGGTGTCCAGGTAAGTGGGGTAGGGCTCAGCTTCACCCTCACCCCCTCTGACACTGAGAATCACTCCTAAGAGAGGGATCTGGAAAGTATTGACCCTAACTCTTTCTCAGGGGCAGACATCTCATCCTGTGGCCTGTGGCCCACAGCAGCCGCAGAGTCCCTGCCCCTCCCGTTCATCTGTGTGCTCTGTCCCAGGGAGGCAAGGAAGCTGATGAGGTCTCATCGCACCATCGGGTTGAGAGGAACTGGGATGGAGTGGGAATAGCCCCGCCTGCCCCCTATGTTGCCTTAAGCCCTACTCTGATGAGTTACTTCTTCAGAAATCGACATGAAATACTGTCTGTTTCCATGATTCAGTACATCCACACACTTCAGGAGACACATATCAAAGGCCTCCTCTTCTTCCCTACAGTGGAACATGGAGACTGAAAAGGCTCATGAGCCATGTCCTGGGCTCCCACAAAAGGAGACCAAGACTCTCATGTGGTAGAAAGGGAAGGAATAGCCAACAATCTCCCTCTCTTGAAGTCTTCTTTTTCTGTGTATAGCGGGGAGGGTGTCAGTGGTGGGCCAGTCCTGAGGTGGTACCTCCTGGTCAGCTCTGTGAGTGACTGTCTCAACTCCTTTTGGCCACATGAAGTTAAAATGCGGGGTTCCTCACATCTTTTGTCCTTAGTATTGAGCCTTAGCCTCAATTCCCAGACACAGGCAAAATGATGCTTGACATCCTGTCACATGATGTTTGCAAGCGATAGACCTAAAACTTGAGGGCACAAAATAGTTCAAAGTAACTCACTGGACAGAAAAAGACATACCAGCAAACATTAACCAAAAGAAAGCTGGAGCATTAATATTACTGGACAAAACAGGCTTTAATGCAAAAAGCATTACTAGGATAAATAAGATCACAATGTTATGAAAAAAATGAGGTTCTATGTTTCTAACAACGTGGACTCAAAATACATAATGCAAAAAACGGCAGAATTACAAAGAAAAAAAGGAAAAATCGCAATGGGAGATTTCTACATACTTCTCTCTGTAATTGATAAACAAAAATTAGGATATAGAAAATTTCAAAAGCATATTCAACTAGTCTTATCCAAATAATTAGAGATTTTGTTCTTTTCAAGTATACATGGAATATTTACAAAAATAGATTGCAAAGCAAATCACAACAAATTCCAAATAACCTATTTTACTCAGGCTACTCTTTAAAACCACAATGCAGTAATCAGAAAGAAATAATAAAATAATATACAAAATGTTTTTAAAAAGAAGAACCATTTACTGAAGAAAATACAAAACACTTTTTGCTAACAATTTAATACTGTTTTTGAAACAATTCCTATTGTGATAAATTCATAACAAAAATCTGCAGCTGATTACACAATATTCAGTATTAATGTGCAAATATATAGTTGGTAATCTTGTGAGGGGAAAATAAACCAAGAGTATACACAATTATAGGAGTAAATTCATATTAAGCATGTCATTTTATGAAATGAAATATGTACTACTGAGAAACACAAAGGACTGAACTACTGAAAATGCAACAGCATGACTGAATCTCAAAAACAGTATGCTGACTAAAGGAACCTACATACAGAAGAGTGTATATGTATGATTCCATTTCTATGAAAAGGCAAAAGTAATCTACCATGGCAGAACACAGATGCATGGATTCATCAGAACTCAAAGACTGAAAAAAAACATAAGGAACTTTCTTCAGTAATGAAATGCTTTATATCTTTTTTTTTTTTTTTTTTTTTTGAGACACTTTTTGCTCTCTTGCCCAGTCTGGAGAGCAGTGGCATGATCTCGGCTCACTGCAACCTCCACCTCCCAGGTTCAAGCAATTCTCCTGCCTCAGCCTCCAGAGTAGCTGGGACTACAGGCGCCCGCCACCATGCCCAGCTAGTTTTTGTATTTTTAGTAGAGATGGGGTTTCACCATGTTGGCCAGGCTGGTCTCGAACTCCTGACCTCAGGTGATCCACCTGCCTCGGCCTCCCAAAGTGCTAGGATTACAGGCATGAGCCACCATGCCCGACTGAAATGTTTTATATCTTGATGGCAGGTATGGAGTACTTAAGTCTTTGCATTTGTCAAAGCTAGAAAAGCCATAAACTTGAAATCTGTGCATTACACTGCATATAAATAATACTTTAAATAATTTTAATGTTTGTGCAACACTTACCATGAAACATGTTAAAAGACAGGCTGGGAGAAGATATTTGCCATCTGCCCATCTAACAAGGTATTGTGGAGATTATATACATAAACATAAAATGTATGCTAACAACAGTATAAAAGATGGTAGGGATAACCTGTTGTAAGGTTATCACACCATATGTGAAGTGGCATAATTTATGTAGACTGTTAGAAAATTAAAGATGTATATTGTAAAACTGAGGACAACCATTTAAAATTATATGTAACTAGTAAGAGAATGGTGAAAAATAGAAATTACTAAGAAATAGAATACTAATATAAAAATAGAATTAAAAAAAAAAACCTCAACCTCAAAGCAGGCAGTTGGGGAGAGAGAGAGAGAGAGAGAGAGGTATCACTGAACACCTGGAACACACAGAAAATAACTAGTAAGATGGTAGATTTAAATGCAATCGTATTAGTAATCACATTAAATGTTTGGTGATATGATTAAGATCCAGAATAGATTTTTAATGAAATACCTATAAGCCAATAAGAAAAAGATCTCACAACAGAAACATTGGCAAATGATATGAAGAGGAAATTCACAGAGGAAGAAACCAAATGTCAGTAAACATGAAAAGATGTCCAACTTCATTAATCAGGGAAATACAAATACAAATTAAAATAATGAGCTACCATTTCACAGTCATCATGTCGGCAAACGTTCTGAGTCCATTATCAGTAAGTATGAGCCAGGATGGGGAAAGAGAAAATCACACGATAGTGGGTGTGTAAGTAGGCACCATCCCTTCAGTGAGCAGTTCGGGAAGCCGGGGAAAGATGAAGGTGCTCTTGCCATCCAGAGTCCCATGTCTAGGCGTCTCTAGAGACGCACTTTAGCAGTGCACAATGAGACATGCATGCAGATGTCGCTGGCAGCAGGTTTGTTCTCATTCCTCTAGGGGGAATGGAACGTAAACTGTAGTTTATGTATTCAATGAAATACTATATTGTGGGTAAAATGAATGAACCAGATATTCTTGTTTAAACATGTCTGTATCTCAAAAACAAAATGACCCATGGAAAAAAGCAAGTTGCAACAGGATAGGGACTGGATAATATCATTCACATAAAATGTAAAAATACCAAAACCAGTAGTGTGCATTGTTTACGAATGCACACATGTTAGTTAATGCATAAAGACCTGGGTGAGAACTCTAGCCTCCGGGAAGGGAGGGGACAGGATGCATAGCTCTGGCCTTACCTCTATCTGTAACTTTCCTTTTTTTTGTTTTTTGAGACGGAGTCTTGATCTGTCCCCTAGGCTGGAGTGCAGTGGGGCGATCTCGGCTCACTGCAACCTCTGCCTCCCGGGTTCAAGAGATTCTCCTGCCTCAGCCTCCCAAGTAGCTGGGACTACAGGGCCGCGCCACCACGTCCAGCTAATTTTGGTATTTTTAGTAGAGACAGGGTTTCATCACGTTAGCCAGGTTGGTCTCGATCTCTTGACCTCGTGATCTGCCCACCTCAGCCTCCCAAAGTGCTGGGATTACAGGCATGAGCCACCACGTCTGGCCATAACTTTCCATTATCTGAGCTGCCAGCATACTGAGTCCTGTTGCCTTCCAAGACCAGCTCCACTCCTGGGGTTCCATTAGGTAAACACAATGTCCTCTGCTCCCCCCCGCCGTCTTCCCTCACTTAAGTTAGTTCCAGTTGGGCTTCATCGCTAGTAACCAGGACGCCTGCCTATAGTTTCTTCTTTTTTTTTCCTTTTCAATTCATCCCCAGTTCTCGCCACCTCGTAGGTATTCAATTAATACATGTTTAAGTGGACCTGTCCAGGAAGGGGAGTTCTCAACTCTAAGCTCCTGCATTTCTTTTGGGACTTCTCATGGTTACAAAGAGCATTCATTCATACTGTGACTGAGGGTAAACAAGTCGCTGCCCACTCGGCCTCAGTTTCCTCCTAAATGACCCGTCTGGCCACTTCCAGCCCCAGCAGGGTCTGATTCTAGGAATTCGGTCCTTTCATGTCGAAAACAACACTCGGGCATTTCACAAAAGCACCCAACCCCCTGGCTCCCCTTGGAAGCACAGCCCGCGTCCCTGGAACCCGGGCTGCACTGAGCTGGTCACATGAACTCCGGGCTTTCTCTGGTGTGACGGGTTTCTTAGATCCCTTTGTGAGCGCAGGTTTTGAAAGGGAACGACCCCGGGTTCTGGGTGTGAGAGGCGCAGGGGATCGGCGGGAGGAAGGCTGTCGGAGCCAATCAAGCCGCCTCCAGACCCCAGCACGTCGCCTGGGCTGCGCGCTCCGACTGCGCCTCCGCCCGCGCGCCTCCCGGCCTCGCCCGAGGGTGCCTGGGCAGGCGAGGACCCCAGGTGAGAGGCCGGAGGGTCCTGGAGGGTGGGAGGCCCCGGCGGTTCGGCCCGGGCTCCACGACGGGCTGGCCCGGGCTCAGGGCGTGTCCGTCGCCGCCGGGCGGCTCGCTCGACACTGTTCGCTCCTACCGGCTGTAGATGGAGCTGTCTGGGTTCCGGCAGCCTCCGACGAGCCTCGGAGTGTTTCTCTTTAAACGGCCTGAGAGGGACATGCCTCCCAGGATGCAGTTTGTAGCAACATGGCAGCTGCTGTGCAGCTCCCCTGCTAAAGAGGCGCCGGGACGGCAGCGCAGCTCGCAGCCGGGGCCGGGGCCGGAGCTGGGGTCCCAGCCGCGGCCGCAGAGGGGCGGCGCGCGGGCCGGGGGCCGCCGTTGAGGGCCGGGGCCCAGCTCGCCGCCGGGACGCAGCCGGCCGGGCCGCCCGCACAGCCGCGCGCCCAGCTCCGACGCCGCCGCTCGGGCTCCGCGACCCCGCGCCCGCTCGCCCCGCGCGCCCCGAGCAGGCCGGGGCCCGACGGCCGCGCGCGAGCCCCGGCGGGGAAGACAGGGCTGGGCCGGCGCCGCCTGCGGAGAGCGCCGGGCGGCCGGGCCTGCGTGGGGCCGCGCGCAGTAGCGGCGGCGGCAGTAGCGGCGGCGACTCCGGGGGCCCGGGCCGGACAGCGCAGGGCCATGGCCGAGGCGGCCCCGGCTCCTGTGAGGGCGGCCCGCGCGCGCACGGACGCGCGGCCTCGGGGCCCCGGGGACGGCCTGCGTGTCCCGGGCTCGGCGGCCCGGCCTGGGATCTCGGTAAGGGGCAGAAACGCTACGACGTTGGCGCGGGGGGTGGGGGCGCCCTGGAGGGGGCCCGCGCGTCTTGACCCGGGCGGTGGGGGAGGGCTACGGGCCTCGCCGCCGTCCGTGCGAGGGAGGCTGCTCTCACGCCCGGCCCGGCACACACGCGGCCCCGAGGTGGGGCGCCCGGAGGCGCGCTCGCTCCCTGCGGGGCCCGCGCTGCGTCCGTCGGGGTAGCCGCCGGCACGTTTTCCGCAGAGCTCGGCCCCGCGGAGCCTTCCCCGGCCCGGGCGCGGCGCTGACGCGGCTCTCCCATTTCGCAGAACGGAGACACTGAGGCACAGACACCTGGCGGCGACCCGCCCTGCCGGCCCCAAGGTCACGTAGCAAGGCATCCGTGGCACGGTGCGGCAGCCCCAGAAAGGCCTGCCCAGAGGGCTGCGGGCCTGGACGGGGAGGGGGTGGCTCTGGCGGCGGCCGCCCCTGGGTGAGGGGCTGGGCCGCCCTGGCAGCGGACGCGGCCCGTCGGGGGCGGCGGGGGAGGCCGGGCAGCGCCCAGCTGGGCATCTCCGCGGTGGGAGCAGGTGACCCTCTGAGCTCCAGCCTCTGCCTCCGGCCTCTGCGTCTGGAAGGTCGTAGGCTAAACTTTGAGTGCCCTGACAGATGGTGTCTGGGGAGTAAGCTTCTCAGGGGTTGGGGGCTGATGTTCCTCTTCAGGAAGACACTCTTAAAAAATCATCCCTCAGATCCTCCCGCAGACCTGCTCTTTGAGACGCCCTGGCCGTGCTAGTGAGAGGATTACTGCATGGGAGTCAGTGCCTTTGAGCCTCAGTTTCCTATTGTGTACACAGGAAGGAGGCAGGATATATAGCTTTCTAAAAAGCATCCCAATTCTTTAATCAAAAAAAAACTCATGAGAAAATAAAATCAAACGAAGATGTTTACATGCCTTACTCTGGGCTCAGGCCTTCGGGGCCCTTGAATGGTATATAATGCTGGGTGAACCATACTGGGTCATTCAAAAAAATGCCATGACTTTCTTAATAAGTCAGATACTGTGGTTATGGATGCTTCTGCTAATGTGGCATGAATCCTGGAGAATCCATCCACTCCTGATCCGTCGGGGAAGGAGGGACCGTTAAATCCTACAAATATGGTTCAGAAGAATTCTCCCTCCAACCCCCTACCAGGAATTTGAGAATTTGAGCTTATTCGTTTTAGGTATATTTACAGCTCCCTCCCTCTCTTTGGTCATTTCTTTCTGCTTAGGGTAAGATAAGCGGCAGGTTTACCGGGATGGATTAAATTATAGCAAAGGGCTTTTATTTGGGAGGCGAGGGAGGGAACACCCTCCTGTGGCCCCTCTACAGTCCTCCAAATCCGGAAATGGAGAGAGACAGTCTAATAATAGCAAAGAAATAGTATTTTCCTTTGAGCTCTGATTTGTCTAGCTGGTAAAGATGCCTTGGTCTGCTGGCTCTGTTTACTATACTGGAGGGTTTTGTTTTGTTTTGTTTTGTTTTGTTTTGTTTTGTTTTGTTTCATTGTTTCAGTTAAACCTCTGCATTACTCAGAGAGACTAACTTGCTCCCCAGGGATTTTTTCCTCTTCTTCTTTCTAGTGCTAGGCAGATACCCTAATCTCCCTCTAAGGCAAGGGCTGTAA